>NT_167247.2:1832521-2085614 GCF_000001405.40 Homo sapiens | reverse complement strand
GGCCACAGTCTTCTCAACCCTTGCCTGCAGAGAAGTTCCTCTGCTAGTCTCATCTTTTCCAGGCACCCCAAGGCACTTGCCTCCTCCTCCTTTCTTTCCCTGAAATGGAAGAAGCATTTCTTAGAGGGCTCTCCCTTCTCTCTCTGCTTTTTCTCTGACTTCATGAGACCCCCACCACACCTTTCCTACCCCTACTCTGGCTACAGGTAAAAATCCAGGGGCAGAACAAGGAGATGTTGGCGGCCGCCTGTCAGATGTTCCTGGGGAAGACGGAGGCTGAGATTGCCCACATTGCCCTGGAGACGTTAGAGGGCCACCAGAGGGCCATCATGGCCCACATGACTGTGGAGGTTGGCCTAGGGGCAGGGAACCATCTGGAAGGATGTCAAAATGAGGGGGGCCCAAGGCCCACACTAGTCTGTGAGAGACAGTGGATCCAAGAGCATACATCCCGGCCGGGCAGGGTGGTTCATGCCTGTAATCCCAGCACTTTGGGATGCCAAGGTGGGCAGATCACTTGAGGTCAGGAGTTCGAGACCAGCCTAGCCAACCTGGTGAAACCCCTTCTCTACTACAAATACAAAAATTAGCTGGGTATGGTGATGGGTGTCGGTAATCCCAGCTACTTGGGAGGCTGAGGCAGGAGAATCACTTGAACCCAGGAGGCAGAGGTTGCAGTGAGCAAAAAAAAAAAAAAAAAAAAAACTTACATCCCTTCTCCCCACCATCCTGTTATCACAGGAGATCTATAAGGACAGGCAGAAATTCTCAGAACAGGTTTTCAAAGTGGCCTCCTCAGACCTGGTCAACATGGGCATCAGTGTGGTTAGCTACACTCTGAAGGACATTCACGATGACCAGGTAAAACTAGGCAATTGATCCTTCCCCACTTCCTTGCTCCCATCTCTTAAGCCCTCCAAAGGACTAATTTCTACATCTCTCCCACAGGACTATTTGCACTCTTTGGGGAAGGCTCGAACAGCTCAAGTCCAAAAAGATGCACGGATTGGAGAAGCAGAGGCCAAGAGAGATGCTGGGATCCGGGTGAGAGAGATGGGGGTTGCTTAGTGGGAAAGGGGATAGAAGTGGCACAACTGAGAAGAAGCAGGGGTGCTGGGTGAGCAGGGAAAATACATGAGGCAGAAAGAGAACCTTGGTGGGAAGCAGGCTGTCACCGTGGCCTTTCTCCCCCTGCCCTGACATTTCCTACCTGATCTCTGCTTGGACAGGAAGCTAAAGCCAAGCAGGAAAAGGTGTCTGCTCAGTACCTGAGTGAGATCGAGATGGCCAAGGCACAGAGAGATTACGAACTGAAGAAGGCCGCCTATGACATCGAGGTCAACACCCGCCGAGCACAGGCTGACCTGGCCTATCAGCTTCAGGTCAGAGCCACTGCCAGGCCACTCTCTGCCCCTTCCCCATTCCTCTCAGGCTGTCCATCTCAGGACACCACTACACTATTTCTCATACTTTAACTTTGGTCTTATTCTGGCTCTCCATCTCTGGACCAACTCCCCCATATGAGGAGAGATTTAAAAGACTCAGACGTTACAGCTGAAAAGCTTTAAAGAAAAGGCCAGCCGGGTGTGGTGACTCATGCCTGTAATCCCAGCACTTTGGGAGGCCAAGGCGGGCTGATTGCTTGACCTCAGGAGTTCAAGGCCAGCCTGGGCAACATGGTGAAACCGTGTCTATGCGAAAAATACAAACATTAGCCAGGCATGGCAGCTCGGGCCTGTAGTCACAGCTACTTGGGGTATGAGGCAGGAGGATTGCTTGAGCCAGGATGCGCAGGTTGCAGTGAGTCGAGATCACACTACTGCACTCCAGCCTGGGTGACAGTGAAATCCTGTCCAAAAAAGAGAAAAAAAAGGCCACGCGCGGTGGCTCATGCCTGTAATCCCAGCACTTTGGTAGGCCAAGGCAGGTGGATCACAAGGTCAAGAGTTCGAGACTAGCCTGGCCAACATAGTGAAACCCTGTTTCTACTAAAAATACAAAAATTAGCCAGGTATGGTGGCACGCACCTGTAGTCCCAGCTACTTGGGAGGCTGAGGCCGGAGAATTGCTTGAACCCGGGAGACAGAGGTTGCAGTGAGCTGAGACCACGCCATTGCACTCCAGCCTGGGTGACAGAGTGAGACTCCATCTCAAAAAAAGAAAAAAAAAAAAGAGAAGGCCAAGAAGGGATATGATCAATAAGGCTGATCATATGTTTGGAGCAGGCTGTGCCCGTGCAAAGGCATCTGACTGAGAAAGTGGATCCGAGCTCAGATCCGGCCCATGCCCCTCTAATCAAGCAGTGCATTCTGACATGGGTCTGCATCTACACAGAGGAATTTCTGATTTGCACAGAGGCATGCTATGGGCTAGCGGCAGCCCTGGTTAATTAAAAAAGGGTATGAAGAAGGAAAACATGGACTTGGACATTGAATCCTGCAAAGTGAGATATGGGCAGCCCTTGATATTGCCAGGAAGTATAGTTGATCTTCATTCTTCATTATTCGTATCTGAGAATTTGCCTATTCACTAAAATGTATTGGTAACCTCAAAAGGTTACCAATAAAGTCGCAGCACTTTCAGGATCTTTTGCAGACACGCACAGTACCCAGGTGAGGTTGATCAAGGAGATGCTCTGCTGCCTTGTTTCAGCTCTCATACCGTAAGCCGTGTTATTTTCACAGTATATTTACTGCCGTGTTTTTTGCATTTTTGTGCTTTTTATTGGTGAATTCACTCTTTAAAATGGCCCCCAAGCATCAGTGCTGTAGTGCTGTCTAGTGTCCTTTAGTGCAAGCGGGCTATGATGTGCCTTATGGGAGAAATACATGTGTTAGGTAAGCTTCGTTCATGCATAAGTTATACTGCTGTTAGCTGTGAGTTCAGTGTTAATGAATCAACAATATATTTTACATAAGGTGTCTTTAAACAGAAACACATATAAAGCAAGGCTCTATGTTGATCAGTTGATGAAAATGTTTTGACCAGAGGCTCACGGGAACCTAGCCTGTATTTCTTCTAGGAACAAATTAGGTATTAACTAATTCAGCATTCATGGCTACTTTATAGAACAGAACTACCAAGAACAATGAAAATCAACTGTACTTTGAGACCTTTACCCAAAGGATAGCAATATTATGCATTTTGTTTTTGCCAAGAGTTGGTACAGGCTGAAAGCATAATGAAGGTAAAAACATCTTTTGTTATTATGTTAAATTCCTGGGTGACTTGACAGGTTGAACATGGCATACAGCTTTGCAACTCAAACTGTGTTCTACCCAGCAGCAGCTGCAGCATCACTGCGAAGCTTGTTAGAAATACAAAATTGCAGGCCCTGGCCCTGACCAGCTGAATCAGAACCTGCATTTTAACAAAATCTCAAGGTGAATTCCTAGGTGATTTGTATGCACATTGGAGTTTGAGTTTGAAAAGGGTTACCATGATGGAAACTGCTAGCTTGCAGTGAAGCTATGGATAAGGTTCTTAACCTTCTAAACATGACCTTACTTGTCTGCAGATTAAGGGATTGGACTGGTTGGACTCTTTTCAACTTTTATCAGTTTCTCGTTATGCACCAGGCAGTGTGCTAGGTGTTCAGGAAAGAAGGATTTATTCAACAAATATCTGTTAAGTGCCTTCTATGTGCTAGACACCATTTTGGAGGTGAGGCTATAAATATGGAGGTGAGGCAGAAAAGATTCCTGCCCTTATGCAGCTTACATTATGACACAGGAAACAGCTAGTAAGCAAGTAAATGACCTTCCCAGGCTATAATTCTTGTTTAGGTGCTGTGAAGGAAATAAACAGGGTGATGTGAAAAACTGTGGGAGGGGAGTTAGTATATTAGGTTAGCGGGTGGTAGAGAAAGTTTCTATGAGGAAGTGGTGTTTGAGATCAGACTTGGAGATAAGAAGGAACAATGTACAGTTCTGAGCCAAGAATATTCTAGCCTGTGCTTTTTAAGTAGTCATACTTAAAAAGTGGCTGGGCGCGGTGGTTCATGCCTGTAATCCCAACACTTTGAGAGGCTGAGACAGGAAGATCACTTGAGGCCGGGAGTTTGAGACCAGTCTGGCCAACAGTGAAACCCTGTCTCTACCAAAAATACAAAAAATATTAGCCGGGTGTGGTGGTTTGAGCCTGCAGTTCCAGCTACTTGGGAGGCTGAGGCGTGAGAATCGCTTGAATCCAGAAGGCACAGTGAGCCGAGATTGCGCCACCGCACTCCAGCCTGGGCGACAGAGCGAGACTCCTTCTAAGATAGATATATGGATGGATGGATGGACGGATGGACGGACGGACGGACGGACGGACGGACGGACGGACGGACGACAGACAGTCAGTCAGTCAGTCAGTCATACGTGGCTTGTGGCTAGGCAGGGGACCAGTAAGTGCAAAGGCTGTGAGGTGGAGTCAGAAAGGAGGTTTCTGATCTGGGGGCGCTGGTGTGCTGTGAGTGAGGAGGAAAGGCAGGCAGGGCCAGATCACAAAGGGTTTGTGTGGTCACGATGGAGACACAGAAGAGAACTGAAAGCACAGTGGAAAGCTATTGGAGAACTTCAAGCAGAAAGGTGCCATGGTCTTATTTATATTTGTATAGGGATCAGTCTGGTTGCCTTGTGGAGAACGGGCAAAGAGAGGAAGCAAGGCCGGGTGCGGTGGTTCACACCTGTAATCCCAACACTTTGGGAGGCCGAGGTGGGCAGATCACGAGGTCAGGAGATCGAGACCATCCTGGCTAACATGGTGAAACCCCGTCTCTACTAAAAATACAAAAAATTAGCTGGGCGTGGTGGCAGGCACCTGTAGTCCCAGCTACTCGGGAGGCTGAGGCAGAAGAATGGCATAAACCCGGGAGGCGGAGCTTGCAGTGAGCCGAGATCGCGCCACTGCACTCCAGCCTGGATGACAGAGTGAGACTCTGTCTCAAAAAAAAAAGCAAAAGATGAGTTGGGCTCTTTTTCAGAGATGATGGATTAAACAAATGTAGCTAATTTTACTCTCTCCTAAAACCTCACTAAAGCCAAAATGATTTTTTTTTTTTTTGAGATGGAGTCTCGCTCTGTCGCCCAGGCTGGAGTGCAGTGGCGCGATCTAAAATGATTTTTTTTAAGGTAAAGATAGAGGCTTGTCCAAAGGTAGTGAGTTATCTCAATTGATTGTTCAGTCAGTTACAGATTGAACTCCTTGTTCTACTCTTTACCTACTTCTCACTATTGCACTTGATTAGTCTTTCTTTCTTCCTTTCTTTCCTTCTCTTCTCTTCTTTCTTCTCTCCTCTCCTCTTTGAGACCGGGTCTTACTCGGTCCCCCAGGCTAGAGTGCAGCGGTACAATCTCAGCTCACTACAGCTTCAACTGCCTGGGCTCAAGCAATACTCCCACCTCAGCTTCCTGAGTAGCTTGGTCTACAAACATATGCCACCACGCCTGGCTAATTTTTGTATGTTTTGTAGAGACGGAATTTCACCATGTTGCCCAGGCTGGTCTCAAACTCCTGGGCTCAAAGGATCCTTCCCGCCTCAGCCTCCCAAAATGCTAGGATTACAGGCGTGAGCCACCATGCCCAGCTGACTAGGCTTTAAAAAAAAAAAAGATGGAGAAAATAGGAACGGAAACCAGAGCATCATTTTGGAAACTGGAAGTCAGTAGTAATTGACTAAGCAGGTATGACACAGCTGAGCTTGAAACCTGCAAAAGGGAAAACAATGAAATGATCTGAGGCTCAGGAGCTGGCAGCACCCAGTGCTTCTCCAGCTGTGGTAGACTGGTTAAATAAGAGGAACATGTGAAAAGCACCTTCTCAGAGCCCCTCACTGCCTCTGGGTAATGGTTCCTGCCCTGCTCCAACAGACATCTGGAGGTTTATTATCTTATTTATCTATTTTATTTATGTTTTTTTTGAGACAGGGTCTCTCACTCTGTTGTCCAGGCTGGAGTGCAGGTGCAGTGGCGCAGTCTCGGCTCACTGCAACCTCTGCCTCCTGGGTTCAAATGATTCTCGTGCCTCACCCTCCCAAGTAATCCTCAACTGGGATTACAAGTGCCCACCACCACGCCCAGGTAATTTTTGTATTTTTTTTTTTTTTTTTAGTAGAGAGGGGTTTCACCATGTCGGCCAGGCTGGTCTCGAACTGCTAGCCTCAAGTGATCCATCCACCTCAGCCTCACAATGTGCTGGGATTACAGGTGTGAGTTACCATACCTGCCATTGGAAGTCTATTATCTGAAGAGAGTAGACTAGAGGATGTGATGGGGGCTGGCCCAGCACAGGTGAGGACCTAGATAGTTTACCAGTAACAGGGGCATGAAATGACTATAACTTTCATGAATGCTAAATACTGAGAGCCAACCCCAACCCCAACCCCCTCAACCCCACTCAGCTCCCAGAACTTCCATCTTCCAAAAAAGAGATCAGAAGACTGCTCTGGGGAACATGACCAATCCAAAAAGAAATAACTTAAAATCCTGAATCAGATGTTTCTCCGTACATGGCCTATCCAGATCACCGTAGGGTGAAGCTCAAAGTCAGCAAGCCTCACCCACATACTCAGAGCTTCCTTTCAGTGTTGAGACCTTCTTCCCTCTGAGCAGATGACAAAGGAGTTTGAAACCAGCCTGGCCAACATGGTGAAACCCCGTCTCTACTAAAAACACAAAAATTAGCTGAAATGGTGACTGTAATCCCAGCTACTCAGGAGGCTGAGGCAGGAGAATCACTTGAATCCGGGAGGCAGAGGTTGCAGTGAGCTGAGATCGTGCCATTTCATTCCAGCCTGGGCAACAGAGCAAGCCATCACAGATTTGGGAGCAACCAAGAAAGCCAGGGACAGGGTATGCTTGGTAACCTGGCAAGAGCTGACAAAGGGGAAAAATAAAACCCCACAGAAAGAAGCAGGGAAGTAAGGGAAAGGGACTAATAAGAGTCAAGCAGGGCCAGGGGTGTTGGCTCATGCCTGTAATCCCAGCACTTTGGGAGGCCAAGGTGGGTGGCTCACGAGGTCAGGAGATCGAGACCATCCTGGCTAACACGGTGAAACCCCAACTCTATAAAAATACAAAAAATTAGCCAGGCGTGGTGGTACGCGCCTGCAGTCCCAGCTACTCGGGAGGCTGAGGCAGGAGAATCACTTGAACCTGGGAGGCAGAGGTTGCAGTGAGATGAGATCATGCCACTGCACTCCAGCCTGGGTGACAGAGCGAGACTCCATCTCCAAAAAAAAAAAAAAAAGTCAAGCACATGCAAATGTGGCATGACTTATTGGGAGCAGAAACATTCTGAGAAAAATTATATAAAAATGAGGTTTTAGATTGAAATGGTCTACTAAGTGCCCAATGCAATGAATGAAAAATATATACATTGAAACATAACACTGTGAAACTTAAGAATGCTGAGGACAAAAAATATGAAAGCTTCTAGAGAGAGAGAGATCTCAAAGAGGCAGGCTTCAAAATGACTTCAGATTCCTTTTTTTTTTTTTTTTTTTTTTTTTTCAGAGACAGGGTCTTGCTCTGTTGTCCAATACAGTGGCATAAACAAGGCTCACTGTAACCTCAACCTCCCAGGCTCAAGTGATTCTCCCACCTCAGCCTCCCCAGTAGTTGGGACCACAGGGGCACACCACCACGCCCAGCTAATTTTTAAATTTTTTTCTAGAGGTGAGATCTTGCCATATTGCACAGGCTGGTCTTGAACTCCTGGGTTCAAGTTATCCTCCCACCTTAGCCTCCCAAAGTGCTGGGATTATAGGCATGAGCCACTGCATCAAGCCCAGCTTTCTTTTCTTTTTTTTTTTTTTTGAGATGGATTTTTGCTCTTGTCACCCAGGCTGGAGTGCAATGGCGTGATCTCAGCTACTGCAACCTCTGCCTCCTGGGTTCAAGCGATTCTCCTACCTCAGCTTCCCAAGTAGCTGGGACTACAGGTATGTGCCACCATTGCTGGCTAATTTTTGTATTTTTAGTAGAGACGGGGTTTCACCACGTTGACCAGGCTGGTCATGAACTCCTGACCTCAGGTGATCTGCCCACCTCAGCCTCCCAAAGTGCTGGGATGACAGGCATGAGCCACCATGACTGGCCCAAGCCCAGATTTCTTAAAAAGCTAGAAAACCATGGAGGAATGCCTTCAGAATTCTGATGGAAAGTTAATCCCAACATAGCAGCCTGCTTTCAGCCTAACTGGTATTAAAATAGAAGGGTAGAGGCCGGGTGCAGTGGCTAACGCCTGTAATCCCAGCACTTTGGGAAGCCGAAGCAGGTGGATCACCTGAGATAAGGAGTTCAAGACCAGCCTGGCCAATGTGGTGGAACCCCATCTCTATTAAAAACACAAAAATTAGCTGAGCGTGGTGGCAGGCACCTATAATCCCAGATACATGGGAGGCTGAGGCAGGAGAATTGCTTGAACCTGGGAGATGGAGATTGCAGTGAGCCAAGACTGCGTCACTGCACTCCAGCCTGGGTGCCAAGAGCGAAATTCCATCTCAAAAAAAGGTAGAATAAAAATCTCAGAGAAAGCAAGACCTCAGAAAAAATATTGTCTTTATATTCTTTCTGAGGAAGCTTCTGGAGGTTGAGTTTCACCAAAAGGTGGGCATAGACAGGAAGGAAAAAGAAACAGACAAATGGTTGCCTAAGGGACACAGGAGAGAGGTGATCCTGCACACCGGTGTAGAGGGCAACGAGGCCAGTTTGGAACGGGTTTGAAAATTTAGGGTGAAAGACAGTACAGAGTGCCGTCTCCAGAGCTATGCTTCTCTCTGGAGTGAACAGATGGGCCCGGGGGAAGGTAGGAGGCAGGGGAAGCATCACATGTATTGATGAGACCTACAATGATGATGGTGCATGGCTGAGCCTGAGCAATGGGACAACGAAGGCATGTGTTCTGGCTGGGTGTGATGGCACATGCCTGTAACCCCAACACTTTGGGAAGCCGAGGCAGGTGGATCACGTGAGCCCAGGAGTTTGAGATCAGCCTGGGCAACATAGAAAACCCTGTCTCTACAAAAAGTACAAAAAATAGCCGGGTGTGCTGGTTCACACCTGTAGTCCCAGCTACTCTAGAGGGGGAGGCGGGAGGATCATCTGAGCCCAGGCAGGTCAAGGCTGCAGTGAGCCATGATTACGCCATTGAACCTGGGTGACAGAGTAAGATGATGTCTCAAAAAGAAAAAAAAAATGTGTTCCTTGCCTGGCACCTCTCCTCACTAGCATCTTGATAAGAGCCTTCTGATTCCCTCACACTGCAAGGAATAAGAAGATGAAATCTAGGCTGGGTGCGATGGCTCATGCCTGTAATCCCAGCACTTTGGGAAACTGAGGCGGATGGATCACTTGAGATCAGGAGTTTGAGACCAGCCTGGCCAACATGGTGAAACCCCGTCTCTACTAAAAAAAATACAAAAATTAGCCAGACATGGTAGCACATGCCTGTAGTCCCAGCTACTTGAGAGGCTGAGGCAAGAGATTAGCTTGAACCTGGGAGGTGAAGGTTGCACTGAGCTGATCGTGCCACTGCACTCCAGCCTGGGCAATAGAGCGAAACTGCCTCAAAAAAAAAGAAAGAAATCTGCCTAAATAAGAGGAATTCTATGAATACACACATTCTTGTAGATGTTCAGAGTATCCCTGGAAGGATACACAAGAAGCTGGTCTTGGTGGTTTCTCTGGGAAAGGGACCCAGGTGGTTTGGAGAATGAGGAAGAAGCCTCGTGGTTCACTTTTTTTTCTGTTAAATCTGCACCATGTGCAAAAGACAAAAAAGATCACCTGTCCCCACCCCCACAAAAAATAAGTCAGCTATTGCAGTAGCCTAGGCTAGCACTAAGGTTATCGCAGCAACAGTGGGGGGATTTGAGCAAGACTGGAGATAGCAGAAAGCCAACATGTGCTCAGTGCCCTCAAGGTATTTATACTCTAGAAGGGGGCACACGTGGGAAAAATAGATTAAACGGGGGCTCATCAGAGAAACACTGGACTCCACTGGACTGGCCAAGCAGACAGGAGGGAACCCACCTTCATGCACCTGCTCCTTTTTTTTTTTTTTTTTTTTTGGAGATGGAGTCTTACTCTGTTGCCCAGGGTGGAGTGCAGTGGCGTGATCCCAGCTCACTGCAACCTTCGCCTCCCAGGTTCAAGCAATTCTCCTGCCTCAGCCTCCCGGGTGGCTGGGACTACAGGCATTCGCCACCACACCTGGCTAATTTTTTGTATTTTAGTAGAGACAGGGTTTCACCATGTTGGCCAGGCTGGTCTCGAGCTCCTGAACTCAGGCAATCCACCCTCCTTGGCCTCCCAAAGCGCTAGGATTACAGGCGTGAGCCACCGCGCCCGGCCACCGGCTCCTATTTTTATATCCCACTCTGGAGCTCTGGTTCCCGGGCACTTGCTCTTCACCTCTGACTCAGAGCGTGAACCTGACTTCACCCTCCTACCCAGGTGGCCAAGACTAAGCAGCAGATTGAGGAGCAGCGGGTGCAGGTGCAGGTGGTGGAGCGGGCCCAGCAGGTGGCAGTGCAGGAGCAGGAGATCGCCCGGCGGGAGAAGGAGCTGGAGGCCCGGGTGCGGAAGCCAGCGGAAGCGGAGCGCTACAAGCTGGAGCGCCTAGCCGAGGCAGAGAAGTAAATGTCCCCTCCCTGACCCTGCCTAGCTCACTTGCCACCTAGGCACCCCAAGATGGAGTGCTGAAGCCTTCACCACCTGGACTCCTATGGATTTCAGGTTTCAGGAGCGTCTGCCTCTGCAGCACTGGGCCTTTCTCCTGGGAGTAAGGGCTGCTGGGCTCCACCCTCCACTTCCCTTCTGTCCACAGGTCCCAACTAATTATGCAGGCGGAGGCAGAAGCCGCGTCTGTGCGGGTGAGTTAAGAGGCAGTTCCATGCTGGCTTGTGGAGAGGGTGGGGGTTGCTGCTTGATCGGGGATTTCTTGTTCTTAATGATTTCCGTCAATCTCACAAGCATCCTTAACCCTCAGATGCGTGGGGAAGCTGAGGCCTTTGCCATAGGGGCCCGAGCCCGAGCCGAGGCTGAGCAGATGGCCAAGAAGGCAGAAGCCTTCCAGCTGTACCAAGAGGCTGCTCAGCTGGACATGCTGCTAGAGAAGCTGCCCCAGGTCTGGAGGTCATGTGGGCACCAAGAAAGGAGGAAATAGAACCAGGGACTAAGGGGTGGGGTGTAGTGAGGGGCTTAGGGAGAAACAGCCTAGGGGGACTCTAAATTAGGGGTGGGAATTATTAGTGACCAAAGTGAGGAAGGATGATCAGTGGAACGAGGACCTTAAAACCCAGAGTAAGTTGTTTTATGAGGAATGTGGTCAGATCATGGGCACTGAGTGGGTGTCTCTCTCCTGCCAGGTGGCAGAGGAGATCAGTGGTCCCTTGACTTCAGCCAATAAGATCACACTGGTGTCCAGCGGCAGTGGGACCATGGGGGCAGCCAAAGTGACTGGGGAAGTACTGGACATTCTAACTCGCCTGCCAGAGAGTGTGGAAAGACTCACAGGCGTGAGCATCTCCCAGGTGAGGTCTCAGGTTGGAGCTGAGGAGAATTGCTAGGTTCCTGTGTTGTGTGACACAGTATGCCTAGCATTTAACCAGCATCCAGGCCTGGGAGTCATTGATGTTTATTAATCACTTTCTGTGTGCCAGACACAGTGCTAAGCTTCTACATAAATGAGTTGTTTTAAATCAAACTACCATTAGGGTATATAGGATTTTACAAAGTCCAGAAACTCAACATCCAGCATGTTCCTACTCATTCTGCTAGTGCAGCTGGAGTGAAATCCAGGTCGACTGTCTCTGCAACCTGTGCTTGTGGTCACCCCACTAGTATAGGGAACTAGTTGCAGCCTATTGACAGTTAATTAATTCTAGGGCATATCACTGCTTTTCTCAGCGCCCCAGTTAATTCACCTGTAGATCATGGTAGAAGTCAGCAAACAGGCTCTGGAACCACTGTTTTGTTGCGAATCCTAGCTACAATGCCTGCTAGCTGTAATCTTGGACAAGTAATCAACCTCTCTATACCTGTTTCCTCATCTTAAAATTGGGTTAATAATTAGAAACTACCCTGTTGAATTGTTGAGGGGCTCGAGCAAATATTTGCAGTGTTTAGAATAGTGCCTGGTATATAGTAAGCATTATGTGTATGTTAAAGAAATGGGGCCAGGTGCAGTGGCTTACGCCTGTAATCCCAGCACTTTGGGAGGCTGAGGCAGGCAGATCACCTGAGGTTAGGAGTTGGAGACCAGCCTGGCCAACATGGTGAAACACCATCTTTACTAAAAATACAAAAAAAAATTAGCCAGGCTTGGTGGTGCATGCCTGTAATCTCAGCTACTCGGGAAGCTGAGGCAGGAGAATTGCTGGAACCCAGGAGCCGAAGGTTGCAGTGAGCTGAGATCACACCACTGCACTCCAGCCTGGGTGACAGAATAAGACTCTATCTCAAAAAAAAAAAAAAATTCCAGGCGCGGTAGCTCATGCCTGTAATCCCAGCACTTTGGGAGGCTGAGGCGGGCGGATCACGAGGTCAGGAGATTGAGACCATCCTGGCTAACACAGTGAAACCCCGTCTCTACTAAAAATACAAAACAGCCGGGCGTGGCGGTGTGTGCCTGTAGTCCCAGCTGCTGGGGAGGCTGAGGCAGGAGAATGGTGTGAACCTGGGAGGCAGAGCTTGCAGTGAGCCGAGATAGCACCACTGCACTCCATCCTAGGCAACAGAGCAAGACTCTGTCTCAAAAAAAAAAAGAGAAAGAAATGCATATTCGGGCTGGGTGCTGTGGCTCACACTTGTAATCCCAGAACTTTGGGAGGCCAGGGTGGACGATCAGCTGAGGTCAGAAGTTTGAGATCACCCTGGCCAACATGGTGATACCCCATCTCTACCAAAAATACAAAAATTAGCTGGGTATGGTGGCGCATACCTGTAATCCCAGCTACTCGGGAGGCTGAGGCAGGAGAATCACTTGAACTCAGGAGGCGGAGGCTGCAGTAAGCCAAGATCGCACCACTGCATTCTAGCCTGGGTGATAGAGTGAGATTCCGTCTCAAAAAAAAAAAGAAAAAAAAAAAGCGTATGTAAATAAAAGCACTGGATCATACCAATGACCTTCAAGCTGGGTTCCTTGGAGCCTCCTGGAGGCCTGCAGTAGAATATTCAGAGCTAAGGAGAGTGTGCAAACAAGGCTCTGCCCCCTCTCCTCTCTTCAGTGATTTATTGTATGTGGGTCCTGATGTCTTTGTTTGGGGAAACAGGTGGTAGGGCACCAGAAAGAACCCTGGCCGTGTGTGTTCTGCCTATAGCCCATTCGTCTAAACTGGGGCCCGGGAGAGTAGGGGCCTCAGCCTCCCGAATGTTCCCAAGTGTCATCTACTGTTGTCTTTTTGCCAGGTGAATCACAAGCCTTTGAGAACAGCCTGAGCCTTCAGCCCTCACAGATGCCCAGCCTCATAGCTGAAGTTGCCTGAATGATCCTCCTGTTGCATGTAACCCACTGGCCTCCCTGAGCATGTCCATTGACAGTGAGGTCCCACCCCTCATCTCTCCTTGCCAAATAGTTTGTGCCTTGTCTTGAAGGGGGTTGCTCCCCTTGCCAACCTCACACTGCTATGATTGCCAACTCCAGCGGTCCCATGTCAGCCTTCTGATGATCCCACTCCACCCCACCTCAACTTATTTAACTTCCTAATTAAATCAGACTGTTTGAGCCTGTTGTCTAGAATATTTTCCTGACCAAGACTGAGGGATGGGCTGGAGGTTTTCAACTTTGCTACCCAAATAAATTGCTGTAAGTAAGTACTAATAAAACAGAAGCAACTGGAAATTAATGCTTGGCCCGGCACAGTGGCTCATGCCTGTAATCCCAGCACTTTGGGAGGCCAAGGCAGGCAGATCATCTGAGGTCAGGAGTTCAAGACCAGCCTGGCCAACATGACGAAACCTTGTCTCTACCAAAAATACAAAAATTAGCCAGGCAGGGTGAAACATGCCAAGTAGTAGTCCCAGCTACTTGGGAGGCTGAGGCAGGAGAATTACTTGAACCTGGGAAGCAGAGGTTGCAGTGAGCCAAGATCGCACCACTGCACTCTAGCCTAGGTGACAGAGTGAGACTGTTTCAAAAAAAAAGAGAAAAAAAATGAATGCTAGACTCAGGTATGGTGACTCTTGCCTATAGTCCTAGCTACTTGGGAGGCTAAGGTGGGAGGATCACTTGAGCTCAGGAGTCTAAGGCTGTAGTGAGCCATGATCACACCACTGCATTCCAGCCTGGGTGACAAAGCAAGATCCTGGCTCTATTAGAAAGAAAATGAATGCTAGAATGTAGCTTCTTCCCTTGCATACAATAGGCTTTCTTGCATACAATAGGCTTTCTAGAATGGGAGAAAAGCAAGTTACTTATATACTGTCAAGAGTTTTAGAGTTAATTTTTCCCCCCAACAGTGTATTATAGTCAGAAAAGCATGCTAAAATAGAAGGAATGTTGGGAATAATACTAGTTCCTAGAATTCCTGAAAACATGGCAAAAGGAATTATTGTTTTCAGGGTAGCTTTGAGACTTGCATTGTGAACTTAAAAGTATGAGGTAGTAGATGGTACAGATTGTTTTAGAATGGGACCATAAGGTAGCAATCCCGCCTAGTTATCCTTTTTTTTTTTTAAAGACAAGGTCTTGGGCTTGGGCCGGGCACGGTGGCTCATGCTTGTAGTCCCAGAACTTTTTGGGAGGCTGAGACGGGTGGATCACTTGAGGTCAGGAGTTTGAGACCAGTCCTGGCCAACGTGGTGAAACCCCATCTCTACTAAAATACAAAAATTAGCCCGGCGTGATGGTGGGTGCCTGTAATCCCAGCTACTTGGGAAGCTGAGGCAGAATTCCTTGAACCCGGGAGGCAGAGGTTGTAGCGAGCCAAGATCGCGCCAATGTGCTCCAACCTGGGCAACATAGCAAGACTCCATCTCAAGAAAAAAGAAAAAAAAAGACAAGGTCTTGCTCTGTCACCCAGGCTGGGGTGCAGGGGTAGGGTCAGGGCTCATTGCAGCCTCTACCTCCCAGGCTCAGGCAATCCTCCCATCCAATCCCCACCCCCCTACCCCCAACAACCACCACCCCCCTCTACCCCAGCAGCTGGGACTACAGGCATGCACCACCATGCCCAGCTTTTTTTTTTGTTAGATGGTTCACTGCTGCCCAGGCTGGTGTGGAACTCCTGGGCTCAAGCCATCCTCCTGCCTCGGCCCCCCAGAGTGCTGGGATTACAAGTGGGAGCCACCATACCAGGGCTTCACTAGTTATCTTGGTGTCATAGGTTGACTAAGCCCACAGGATCACAGGAAATGGCCATGGGTACACATAACCCAAAGGAATCCTGGGCTGGGTGGCCAAGGCCAGTTCAACCATTTATGGTTCAGTACATCTGGGTGGGATGAAAAACTTGCATTTATTTCTGCAAGTTCCCAGAGGATGTGGATGCTGGTCTGGAAACCAGTTACACGTGATTTGTCATTCTTCTCAGCTTCCATTTTCCATCCCTGGATCCTGCATCTAAGCCTATGCCTTCCCCAGTTAAGACTCATTGGTGGGCCTGGTGCACTGGCTCACCTGGCTTATGCCTACAGTCCCAGCTGCTTGGGAGAATGAGATGGATTGTTTGAGCCCAGGACATCAAGGCTGTAGTGAGCTGTCAGAGACTACAGTAAAGACTGACTGGTGCTCAGAGCAGTTTGGGTACCAGAAACAATGATGTGAGGGTCTATAAAGCAGTCAGTGTCCTTACCAGTACCTCCCTGAGATACCAAATCGGCAGACACCCAAGTCCCTCATATAAAATGTAGTACTTGCATATAACCTGTGTACTTCAAATCATCTCTACGTTACTTGTAATACCTAATCTAATGCAAATATTATGTAAATAATTTATACTATTATTGTTTAGGGAATAATGAGAAGTCTATACATGTCCAGTACAACTCTTTTCCCAATATCCAGTTGGTTGAATCCGTAGGACAGGGACTCAATATTAAGTGTCAATTTAAGGAGAGCAGTGCAACTGAACTCAGGCCCCATGCCTCCATCAGCCAGCCGTGTTTCCCTAAATAAGCACACATCTCGCAGCTTTTTTCAATTCCCATTTATTTTTGGCTCTTGGGGCGATGTCATCTTTTCAATATGAAAAAAAGCAGCAAGTTCAACATAAAATAGAAATCTCAAATGTAGGATAGAACAAAACCAAGTGTGTGAGGGGGGAAGCAACAGCAAAAGGAAGAAATGAGATGTTGCAAAAAAGATGGAGGAGGGTTCCCCTCTCCTCTGGGGACTGACTCAAACACTGATGTGGCAGTATACACCACTCCAGAGTCAGGGGTGTTCATTCTTTTTTGGGAGTAAGAAAAGGTGGGGATTAAGAAGACGTTTCTGGAGGCTTAGGGACCAAGGCTGGTCTCTTTCCCCCCTCCCAACCCCCTTGATCCCTTTCTCTGATCAGGGGAAAGGAGCTGAGTGAGGGAGGTAGAGTTGGAAAGGGAAGGATTCCACTTGACAGAGTGGGACAGACTCCTCCAGAGTAGAGCTTGGAGGGAGATTGAAAGTGGAGATAATACTGCTGACACCTCCCTTGAAGCTGAGATGGGAAATGGACATACTTAGAAATTTAGTGACTTTAATAGCCTGGATTTCCCTCTCCAAAACTTTTAGAATGGAAAATCCCATCCCCTTCCTTATATAGTGACTTCTACCCACTACCTTCTACCATTTTCTACTTTGGGCTTAGGATGATGGCCATTATCTACATGTGTTTTCAGCACCTGGTTGGTTCTAAATGGGATCTGGAGACCCAGCTTCTTGGAGATTTTTAAGAGGAAGTATTAACTGGACAAATGGAATGGGCACCAGAAAGAAATACAGGGTCACCCAGAATGGCAGAAACCTAGGTTTCCCAGAGTGGAAAGAGAGAGGAGACATTCAACAAACAAGTATTTATTGAGCGCCTACTATGTGCCAGGCACTGTTCTAGACCCCCCCCAGAAGAAAAAACAAAAAACAAGATAGAGGCAGCAAACACAAATTCTGAGGGAGAGGAAAGGGGCAGTTGAGTAAGACGGCTAAGGGAACTGAGAAGCCTGAGGTGATGGGGGCTCTGCCTTAGGCCTCCTCTTCGGCCTCCTCACCGAAATCCTCCTCCTCTTCTGCGGTGGCATCCTGGTACTGCTGATACTCAGAGACGAGGTCGTTCATGTTGCTCTCAGCCTCGGTGAACTCCATCTCGTCCATGCCCTCGCCTGTGTACCAGTGGAGGAAGGCCTTCCGGCGGAACATGGCAGTGAACTGCTCCGAGATGCGCTTGAAGAGCTCCTGGATGGCTGTGCTATTGCCAATGAAGGTGACTGCCATCTTGAGGCCACGAGGTGGGATGTCACAGACGGCTGTCTTGACATTGTTGGGGATCCATTCCACAAAGTAGCTGCTGTTCTTGTTCTGCACGTTAAGCATCTGCTCATCGACCTCCTTCATGGACATCCGACCACGGAAGACAGCAGCCACGGTGAGGTATCGGCCGTGGCGGGGGTCACAGGCAGCCATCATGTTCTTGGCATCGAAGACCTGCTGGGTGAGTTCCGGCACTGTGAGAGCTCGATACTGCTGGCTTCCACGGCTGGTGAGAGGGGCAAAGCCAGGCATAAAGAAATGGAGACGTGGGAAGGGGACCATGTTGACTGCCAACTTGCGGAGGTCAGCATTGAGCTGGCCAGGGAAACGGAGGCAGGTGGTGACACCACTCATGGTGGCTGAGACAAGGTGGTTCAGATCCCCGTAGGTTGGTGTGGTCAGCTTCAGAGTGCGGAAGCAGATATCATAGAGGGCCTCGTTGTCAATGCAATAGGTCTCATCAGTATTCTCTACCAACTGATGGACGGAGAGGGTGGCATTGTAGGGCTCGACCACGGTGTCAGACACTTTGGGTGAAGGCACCACACTGAAGGTATTCATGATGCGATCAGGGTATTCTTCTCGGATCTTGCTGATAAGGAGAGTGCCCATTCCAGAGCCTGTGCCCCCGCCCAGTGAGTGGGTCAGCTGGAAGCCCTGCAGGCAGTCACAGCTCTCTGCCTCCTTCCGTACCACATCCAGGACAGAATCAACCAGCTCGGCGCCCTCTGTGTAGTGGCCTTTGGCCCAGTTGTTACCTGCCCCAGACTGACCTGGAATGCAGTCAGGAGAAAAGCTCAATTAACAGGGTATGGAAGATACATGATGTTTCCATCTTTCAACTTTTCAAATAATTCCCTCGGATGTATCTTCTTTCTCCTTCACTGTGATATATTCTCCCCCTACTGCCCCATAATTTACCAGCAATAGTAGGCACTACCTCTACCCTCCGTTAGATTTCAGAACACATTTCTGTATTAGCACTCCAATACAACAATCATCTCCTAACTTTTGCTGTGTCCTTGCACCCAAATAAGTTGAACACGATGGTATATCATCTGCTAATATCATCTGTATAACTCACCAAATACAAAGTTGTCTGGTCTAAAGATCTGGCCAAAAGGACCTGAGCGAACAGAGTCCATGGTCCCAGGTTCTAGATCCACCAGGATGGCACGAGGAACATATTTGCCACCTACAGAGAATAAAGTTAAGAGCTGTGAAATCTGGCAGAAGGGAAGGTTTATAGATATACTGGAAATGGGAGACAGCAGGGATCAGAGACTTGTCATTCCAGGTCCCGCCACCAGGTGGCAGCAGACGTCTTTGGCCCCGACGGTGGTTCACGAAAGGGACAAAATGACAGATTCACCCAAAGGGGATAAGGCGTGCCCAGAAATGGAAAGAGATCCCAGATAAGTGGGAGACAGGGAAGGGAACCTGAGCTGCCCGGGCTCCTGCCCTTACCTGTGGCTTCATTGTAGTACACAGAGATGCGGTCCAGCTGCAGGTCGCTGTCCCCGTGGTAGGTGCCGGTGGGGTCGATGCCATGTTCATCACTGATCACCTCCCAGAACTGCCGAGGGGGAGCAACGAGACCACAACAGGTCAAGTCCCAGCCAACTATGTCCCCAACTACCATTTTATTTCATCTTTTTCTTAATTTTTTTTGAGACGGAGTCTCGCTCTGTCACCAGGCTGGAGTGCAGTGGCGCTATCTCGGCTCACTGCAACCTCTGCTTCCCGGGTTCAAGCGATTCTCCTGCCTCAGCCCCCGGAGTAGCTGGGACTATAGGCGCGCACCAACACGCCCAGCTACTTTTTGTATTTTTAGTAGAGACGGGTTTCACCATGTTGGCCAGGATGGTCTAGATCTCTTGACCTCGTGATCCGCCCACCTTGGCCTCCCAAAGTGCTGGGATTACAAGGGTGAGCCACCGCGCCCAGCTTCTTCTAATTTTTAAGACAGGGTCTTCCTGTTGCCCAGCCTGCAGTGCAGTGGTGCAATCACGGATGACTACAGCGTGGAACTCCCAGGCTCAACCGATCCTCCCATCTCAGCCTCTCGAGTAGCTGGGACCACAGACGCGCGCCACCACGCCCAGCTAATTTTTTACTTTTATTTTTTGTAGAAACGTGGCATGGGGGAGGGTCTCGCTTTGTTGCCCAGGATGGTCTCGAACCCCTGACCTGGAGGGATCCCAATTCGCCCACCTCGGCCCCACATCTCCCATTTTAATTCCACAAGCGCTCAGGCCGTTGTTCTAGGGCATGGCATCCCGTGGGCCTGCCACACCCTTCCCCTAGACACTCGCTCCCCCGAGAAAGCCACAGCTTTCCCTGCTCTGGATATGTGCAGCGGGTCCCAAGTGCTCGGTGGGCGGATGGAGGTCGACCACACTTCGATAAGCGCCGCTCTCCTTCCCCCAAGCTGGGCACCGCCCCACCGCGCGGCGCACAAAAGGCTGGGGGTCTGAGGAAAGAGCTGCCGCCGCAGTCGACCACCCCCCCCGCCCTCCACGTGACTGCGGCGCACGCGCAGGTCGAGCCGCCGACAAAAGACTTCGCGCGTGGGCGGGGCCAGGGACAAAAATTCCGCGCGCGAGGGGCGGGGCCCAAGGTAGCGCGCCCCTGCCGGCGGGCAACGCCGCATTGTCCCCGCGCGCCCACGGCGCCCCGGCCCCGCCCCGCAGGGCCCCGCCCTTCTGCTACAACGTAGCAGCCGCACTTCCTCCCGCCCCTCCCCCGCTACACTGTAACCGCGCGCAAAAAAAAAAAATCCCCCTTGGCCTCGGAATTTTTATTCCTTCGCTACATTTCTACCCCTTGATTTAAAGGATTCTTTCTCTCCCATTAAGTCCTGAGGGACTCATTAAAGAAAACCACACACCCCCATTTTCTCGACATATCTGTTCACGCCCTAAAAAAGTCTCTCTTAGGGGCCATGAAAGCAAGTAAAATTAATCCCGTTCTTATTCTCCTTCCACCCAGGAACAAATACAGGACCGGCCCTCTGGGGTCGCGGGCGCGTTGGGGTCCCTGGTCTTTTGTGAAAGGTAGCGCCCAGCGCAGCCCACCCTGGCGCATCGCCCCCCACCCTTGCGCTGGAGCTCTCTGCAGCCGCCCGATGGCCTCACCCCTTCCCGCTCCGGTTTGGCCCTAAGTACCCCGCAGGGGGGTTGGGCGGGATGCACATGGGCAAAACCTCGCCCCGCTTTGTCTGCGACCGTTTCCGCATCTCTCTCCCTGCCCGGTTCTCGGACCGTTAGAAGCCCTTTTAAGTAACATCTTATAAGTCCTCGGTCTTCCCGCCCCCAAACCCGAAGAGCCCTTTTACTAGTTTCTCCAAAATGTGCCTGCCAAGAAAAATGATTCCCAGCTTTCCAAAGGCAAATGCTAGCTACAATTGTTATATATATAAATGTAACAAACTTGAGAGGGGCAAATCTTGATTAAGGATAGCGGGTGCAAATGCCCCACAACCATTTTTTCATAACTTACCTGGATTTTTCCTTGTAAAAAGAAATAAAAGAGGTGTAAAATTCTTACCTTGGCACCGATCTGGTTGCCACACTGACCAGCCTGGATGTGCACGATTTCCCTCATGGTTAAAATTTAATTTTTTTGCTCGCCTCAAGGTATGTATGGGGCAAGAAAATAAGTAATTTTTTTTCTCCGCAGGTCGCAGGCTGGAAGGTTGGAATGCGCCCCAGAGGCTGGAGCAGCGAGGTGCAAACGCGACGGCAGGAAGGTTCTGAGAGGGAGAAAGGAGAGGGGAGGGCGCGGAGGGAAAGCAGGCTGGGCGGGGCGCGCGTGCGCCGGGGCTGGGAGGCGGGAGAATCGGCCCCGCGCGCGGTAGGGAGACAAAGCCTCATCGAGCCTGGCCCTGATTAGTCGATGCCGGTCATGTACCAGGCGTCCATTGGCCTCTGAGCCAGTGGACGAGCGCAGTCCTCTTTGGGAGTTGTAGTCCCCTATTGTTGTCCATGCTGCAAAATGAAGTGACGAATGGGTGGGTACCGGTTTGGTTTTCATGGGGTTTTTGTTTTGTAAATGAAAAACGACCTTGCGCAAGATTCCTTTCCTCTATGCCTGAGGTTTTTGTACAAAAAGTGAGCAGTTCTTGGGGGTACAGGAATTGAGAAGTCTGGGGTTCCAGAAGTTGGGTGGTGGGGAAGACACGCCCTGAAAGCTCCCAGCTGCAGTACCTCTAGGGGAGAAAGGATTGCTTAGTTCAGCGAAAAATGGGGAGAAGTCTGGCACCGTGCTCTGCCTCCCCTGGCCTTTGGTGACCCAAGGCATGAACTTCAGTAAGCTTCTGCTCCCTCAAATACTTCAAGAAGGGAATCGCCCTCTTGCTATTTCCTTGGAAATTTTCGAGCCATTGTTTTGAAAGAGAAACAAAATTGCAGCAAGGGCTTTTCAGGATAGCGATGTTGTCTGGAGAGTATGTTCAAAGAATAAAATAGTTTAGAGAAACCGACATCGGGGATTTGTGAAACTAGAAGTCTCCTACGTGGGTAGGAGATCTGGACCTTAGGGCAGACTTTGAAGACACCTTGGTCTTCTTGTCAAACAGGGAACTATGGAATGAGATGCCTGATAGATTTTCAGTTTTTTCAGCCTGCCTCTTTAGACATGTTAATGAAGTCAGTGGTTTTTCAATTCGCTGATTTCACTGACCAGGTGGCCGCCACTGCAACTCTGCAAGAGACCCAGTATTGAAAAACGAGAGAGGGGTAATTGATGGGGGAAAAATTGAGTGGGTTCAAGACGGAGTCCATCTGCTTCTTCCCATAGATTTATTATTCACTTATTTGATAGTTACTATGTATCCACCAAATTAGGAGCTATGGTTACAAAATGATTAAGAATTAGCTCCCTGTCCTCCAGGATGTTGCAGTCTGGTGAGAAGCATACAATCAATAAAATGTGGTAACCACTCAGAAATGTAGTATCAAGTCAACGTCATTGTTAATTCACATTCGATCACACAGATCAATGTATTTCTTTTTTTTTTTTTTGTATTTTTAGTAGAGACAGGGTTTCACTGTGTTAGCCAGGATGGTCTCGATCTCCTCACCTCGTGATTCGCCCGCCTTTGCCTCCCAAAGTGCTGGGATTACAGGCGTGAGCCACCGCGCTGGGCAGATCAATGTATTTCTAAGTTGCCTTCTAAATGAGGGAACATCAACTTGTGTAAGCCCTCTCTACCCACTTAAAATATAATGCTTTACGTTTTAGGGAAATGAACACAGTCATTTTGTGGGAGTAGAAATAACTCAAAATACACAATCAGATAACTTGTTTCAATTTGTCTCTATATTAGCTGTAGGATCCTAGGAAAGTCCTTTAACTTTGCAGGGCTCCAGCTCCTCGTTTGTAAAATCTGCTTATTTGACTGTTGTGCACAGAATTGAGATAACCAACAGAAAGGACTTTATGAATTATGCAAGTGTTATAGTTACCATTTTCTTCATGTCTTATTGTGAGATAAAATAGGCCGGGCGCAGTGGCTTACGCCTGTAATCCCAGCACATTGGGAGGCCCAGGCGGGAGAATCACCTGAGGTCCGGAGTTTGAGACCAGACTGACCAACATGGAGAAACCCCGTCTCTACTAAAAATACAAAATTAGCCGGGCGTGGTAGCGCATGCCTGTAATCCCAGCTACTCGGGAGGCTGAGACAGGAGAATTGCTTGAACCCAGAAGGCGGAGGTTGCGGTGAGTCGAGATCGCGCCATTGCACTCCAGCCTAGGCAACAAGAGCGAAAGTCCGTCTCAAAAAATAAAATATAGATGGCCGCATGCGGTGGTTTACGCCTGTAATCCCACCACTTTGAGAGGCCGAGGCGGGCGGATCACCTGAGGTCAGAAGTTCGAGACCAGCCTGACCAACATGGAGAAACCACGTCTCTACTAAAAATACAAAAATAAGCTGGGCGTGGTGGCGCATGCCTGTAATCCCAGCTACTTGGGAGGTTGAGGCAGGAGAATCGCTTGAACCTGGGAGGCAGAGGTTGCGGTGAGTCGAGATCGCGCCATTGCACTCCAGCCTGGGCAACAAGAGCAAAACTCCATCTCAAAAAATAGATAAATTAGTTAATTAAAAAATAAAAATAAATGATTTTATGATCCTTCCCTCGCCCCTCGAAAGGTGGGGACAGCCTTTAAGACAGAGAGCAAACCAGTTTTCTCTGTTCGACTACAGATCTTTAGGATCTTGGATTTAAGAAAATGACCTCAAAATGTCCGTCAGAGACGTATTCCCAGGAAGAAAGATATTACTTCTACTACAAACCAAATCAAAAGGAAATGAAATTCCAATGCAACAGGAGTGAACTGCCACGCCTACGGGCTGTTCTCCAAACTGCAGCCTCCAGCCACGACTGCAACGCGCAACCCACTTTCATTTCTCATGAGTCAGCGGACACCATGTCTAGGAGGACCGAGGAAAGGCGCTCTGGCCTTACCAGACACGTCGGACGTCTATGACACAGCCCCTCTATCCGTTGCCGGCAGCTGGCGCCAGACTCTCTGGTCGCGGTTTGGAACTGCGCGGGAAGTGGGTGGTGGGCGGGCAAGCGGTAGTGGGTTGTCCCTTGGAGCTGCCCAATCGACGTGCATTATTCTGTTGGCGCACGGCGGCCTTCAATTACCGTCTCATTAACTGATCTCAGCAGCCTGGGAGACACCACCTATTTGAACTCTAAGGGGGCGGGGCTTTGGGTGTGCCTCCGCTCGACTGGCTGCGGTTGTGAAAGACAGCGGCAGAAGCCAATCAGCAAATAAGCTCTTTTTCGGCACACGCAGTCGCTCCACCCGGGTCGCGACCGTTACTGGTGGCGCGCGCGGGGACTTAAAGTAGGTGAGTTCTAGGGGCCTGGCCCACGGCTCCCCGGGAGCCATCTTGGTTCCCCCAGAAGGCGGGAGGGGCGTACCTTGGGTGCGACTGGGCGGAGGTGACTTGGAAGTTCGCTTCTCGGACTGTAATACTCATCCTTACCTGGCGCCCCGCTCCGAGTTTAGGTATGAAGACACAGGGAGACGTCGGGCCACAAGGGAACCCACTGAGGTGGGGACCAAAGATGGTGGCTCTTTGAATTGGAGCCAAGCGTGGTGGGCACCCGCTGAGTTGGCCTGTCATAAAGACGGAGTTGACACTTTATCCATGGGGCATCCTACTTTCCCTACCTGTCAACAGTTTCCCTCTAGAGTGGCATATTTTCAGGTGAATTCCATTTATGCTATTTTCTTTCCATCTCATTTGTTCCTTCATCAGTAGGCTCGGTGATGAGCCTTCCCGAGGGCAGGGTCGATTTCATGTTTGGTTCACAGATGTATACCAAATACTTCAAACAGGTATACCATAACCATTGAATGAATATGATGGACCCTAGGGGAAAGACACGGTTCCCCTAATCCAGTCCTGGAGGTGGGTGAGTGTGAAGGCAGAAATGGAAAGTAATGGTTACAATATAGCGAGAGATCTTAGAGTAAGCACAAATCCATTGACCACTGTGGAACAGGCAGGATACACCAGGAACACGAGAAGGCAGGGAACACGCCAGGAAAGGGTTTGCTGAGAAAGTGACATTTGAGGCCGGGCGCGGTTGCTCACTGCTGTAATCCCAACACTTTGGGTGGCCAAGGTGGGCGGATCACCTGAGGTCAGGAGCTCGAGACCGTGGTGAAACCCCGTCTCTACTAAAAATACAAAAATTAGCCAGGCGTGATGCCGGGCGCCTGTAATCCCAGCTGCTCGGGAGGCTGAGGCAGGAGAATCGCTTGAAGCCTGGAGGCAGAGGTTGCAGTGAGCCAAGATAGCACCACTGCAGTCCAGCCTGGACGACAGAGCGAGATTCCATCTCAAAAAAAAAAAAAAGAAAGAAAGTGACATTTGAACTGAATCTTAAAGGATGGTAGAAGTTGGACCAGAAAACTAGGTGGGAAAAAGCCAAGGAATTGGGCTAAGGCATGAAGATGTGGGAAGACAAGAACAGTGTGTTCGAAGACTGGGGAAAATGTCTGGCTGAACCATAGGCTTTTGCGGGCGAGGGGTAGGCGTTACAAGATGTGAAGTTCAGATCATGGAGGGTCTCGCTAAGGAGTTTAGATTTTATTCTGTGTGCACGAAAAACCATCAAGATTTTAGAGGAGAGACATCTGAGTGATTTGGGGCAAGTCTTAACCTTATATATGCTTATGTATGTTTCAAGGAGATCTGAAAATCTTAACCCAGCTATGTTGCAGTTTCTTTATCTGAAGAAATGGAAGATAGTAATACTACTTTACAAGGTTCTTGTGAAGATTAAATGAGTCAGAGTCGATATAAAGTAATTAGAACAGTGCTTGACACATAGGAAGCTTCTATATATGTCATCTTTTATTATCATTTTTTGCAGTTGCATCTGATCAAACTGAGGTGGTCTGGTAAAAGTATAAAAAGCATGGGCTAAAAAAGAAAGAAAAACAACGGGGCGCAGTGGCTCACGCCTGTAATCCCAGCACTTTGGGAGGCCAAGGTGGGCGGATCACCCAAGGTCAAGAGTTCGAGTCCACCCTGGCCAATATGGCAAAACCCCATCTCTTCTAAAAATACAAAAATTAGCCAGGCATGGTGGCAGGTGCCTGTAATCTCAGCTACTTGGGAGGCTGAGGTGAGAGAATTGCTTGAAACCCGGGAGGCAGAGGTTGCCGTGGGCCCAAGATCTTACCACTGCATGCCAGCCTGGGGAGCAGAACGAGACTCCATCACAAAAAAGAAAAAAATGTTTTAAGTGCTTCAGAAGGTTAACAACAGAAAGATTGGTGGAAAGAGAAGCATCAACGTTCATAATGATCCAGTTTACCCCCTAGTTTTCAGTCTGATAACTCTGATGCTGTTTGTGTGAACCAATAATGAGGATAATTGATAATGTGTATCCTTCCCAGATCATGGAGGACACCCAGGCTATTGACTGGGATGTTGAAGAAGAGGAGGAGACAGAGCAATCCAGTGAATCCTTGAGGTGTAACGTGGAGCCAGTAGGGCGGCTACATATCTTTAGTGGTGCCCATGGACCAGAAAAAGGTCAGAGGGTATTGGATGTTCAAGTATTGATATAGATCTTTTATTTTTGTGGTAAGGTATTTGGAGGGTTGCAAGAAGCTTATGTATGTTTCAATGAGATGTGAATTTTTTTTTTTCATGAATGGAAGAGATGGGGCCGATTGAGTTGATAGTTGCAGACTACTACCCTGGACTCACTGGAAGTGATTTTACTTTGATAAAAGAAAATTAAGAGATTGAAATGAAGCTGGGTGCAGTGACTCACACCTGTAATTCCCGTGCTTTGAGAGGCCAAGGCAGAAGGATCACTTGAGACTAGGAGTTAGAGACCAGCCTGGGTAGCATAGCAAAACCCTGTCTCTACGAAAAATTTAAAAATTAGCCAGGTGTGGTGGTTCATTTCACATCTGCAGTCCCACCTACTTGGGAGGCTGAGCCAGATGATCACTTGAACCCAAGAGTTCAAGATTGCACTGATCTATGATCATGACACTGCATTCTAGCCTGGGTGACAGAATGAGACCCTGTCTCAAAAAAAAAAAAAAAATCAAATAAAATCCAATTGTGTGCTCTGGAGATGGATGGTAGTGATGATTGCACAACAGTGTGAATGCACTTAATGCCACTGAACTATACACTTAAAATTATTAAGGTGATACATTTTGTGTTATGTGTATTTTATAACAGTAAAAAAACATCCATTGTGGATGGATGGGGTATCGCATATACTCTTTCAGTGCCTAGATGTCCTAGGGCCTTTTATTTTTCTAATGCATATGGAGGCCTTGAGTGAGTAGTAGAGTACCTAATAGGCACTTTTTCCTAATGACAGGCCAGGACTCTGATCTTGGAGCTTATCTACCTCTCTAATTCTTAGATTTCCCACTACACCTCGGGAAGAATGTGGTAGGCCGAATGCCTGACTGCTCTGTGGCCCTGCCCTTTCCATCTATCTCCAAACAACATGCAGAGATTGAAATCTTAGCCTGGGACAAGGCACCTATCCTCCGAGACTGTGGGAGCCTTAATGGTACTCAAATCCTGAGACCTCCTAAGGTTTTGAGCCCTGGGGTGAGTCACCGTCTGAGGGACCAGGAATTGATTCTCTTTGCTGACTTGCTCTGCCAGTACCATCGCCTGGATGTCTCTCTGCCCTTTGTCTCCCGGGGCCCTCTGACAGTAGAAGAGACACCCAGAGTACAGGGAGAAACTCAACCCCAGAGGCTTCTGTTGGCTGAGGACTCGGAGGAGGAAGTAGGTAAGTTTGTATATTGGCAGGGAGAATGAGGAGACAGGAATAATGAGTGTACAATTGTCAACTCATTCCTTTCTGTTCTTGACAGATTTTCTTTCTGAAAGGCGTATGGTAAAAAAATCAAGGACCACATCTTCCTCTGTGATAGTTCCAGAGAGGTGAGTGCCAAAGAGTCAGACACCTGAGTCTTCAAAATGAGGAAGAACCAGGGGCTGGAGGATCAATCTCTAAAAGAGATGATTATCATGAGAGTTGGGGCTGGGGAACCATACATATTCATTCACTCAGCTGAATTTTTATGGAGCACATCTGATGTGCCAAGTGGAAAACAAATTGGAAACAGAAGAAGAAATATGCTACCTTGTGTCTCCCCTCAAGGAGCTCACAGTTGAGTTGGGGTATCCCTTCCAGGGAAATAAATTCTATAGACTCTCTTTTCTTCCCTTCACAGTGATGAAGAGGGGCATTCCCCGGTCCTGGGCGGCCTTGGGCCGCCTTTTGCCTTCAATTTGAACAGTGACACAGATGTGGAAGAAGGTCAGCAACCAGCCACAGAGGAGGCCTCCTCAGCTGCCAGAAGAGGTGCCACTGTAGAGGCAAAGCAGTCTGAAGCTGAAGTTGTAACTGAAATCCAGCTTGAAAAGGATCAGCCTTTAGTGAAGGAGAGGGACAATGATACAAAAGTCAAGAGGGGTGCAGGGAATGGGGTGGTTCCAGCTGGGGTGATTCTGGAGAGGAGCCAACCTCCTGGAGAGGACAGTGACACAGATGTGGATGATGACAGCAGGCCTCCTGGAAGGCCAGCTGAGGTCCATTTGGAAAGGGCTCAGCCTTTTGGCTTCATCGACAGCGACACTGATGCGGAAGAAGAGAGGATCCCAGCAACCCCAGTTGTCATTCCTATGAAGAAGAGGAAGATCTTCCATGGAGTAGGTACAAGGGGTCCTGGAGCACCAGGCCTGGCCCATCTGCAGGAGAGCCAGGCTGGTAGTGATACAGATGTGGAAGAAGGCAAGGCCCCACAGGCTGTCCCTCTGGAGAAAAGCCAAGCTTCCATGGTTATCAACAGCGATACAGATGACGAGGAAGAAGTCTCAGCAGCGCTGACTTTGGCACATCTGAAAGAGAGCCAGCCTGCTATATGGAACAGAGATGCAGAAGAGGACATGCCCCAACGTGTGGTCCTTCTGCAGCGAAGCCAAACCACCACTGAGAGAGACAGTGACACAGACGTGGAGGAGGAAGAGCTCCCAGTGGAAAATAGAGAAGCTGTCCTCAAGGATCACACAAAGATTAGAGCCCTTGTTAGAGCACATTCAGAAAAGGACCAACCTCCTTTTGGGGACAGTGATGACAGTGTGGAAGCAGATAAGAGCTCACCTGGGATCCACCTGGAGAGAAGCCAAGCCTCCACCACAGTGGACATCAACACACAAGTGGAGAAGGAAGTCCCGCCAGGGTCAGCCATTATACATATAAAGAAGCATCAGGTGTCTGTGGAGGGGACAAATCAAACAGATGTGAAAGCAGTTGGGGGACCAGCAAAGCTGCTTGTGGTATCTCTAGAGGAAGCCTGGCCTCTGCATGGGGACTGTGAAACAGATGCAGAGGAGGGCACCTCCCTAACAGCCTCAGTAGTTGCAGATGTAAGAAAGAGCCAGCTTCCAGCAGAAGGGGATGCTGGGGCAGAGTGGGCTGCAGCTGTTCTTAAGCAGGAGAGAGCTCATGAGGTGGGGGCCCAGGGTGGGCCACCTGTGGCACAAGTGGAGCAGGACCTCCCTATCTCAAGAGAGAACCTCACAGATCTGGTGGTGGACACAGACACTCTAGGGGAATCCACCCAGCCACAGAGAGAGGGAGCCCAGGTCCCCACAGGAAGGGAGAGAGAACAACATGTGGGTGGGACCAAGGACTCTGAAGACAACTATGGTGGTAAGTGCTGGCCTTCCTTCCTTGACCTCTGAAATCAACCAGGGTTCTAACAGCTGGGGTTGGGGAGAGAAAGGTAGAGATTATTTAAGGAGTTTAGTGTCAGGTATGATTTTTGTTTTAAACTGTCTTATATTCCTCCCCGACCAGATTCTGAAGATCTGGACCTACAAGCTACCCAGTGCTTTCTGGAGAATCAGGGCCTGGAAGGTGAGGACTTCTGTGTTATTTGAATCCTGTACCAGTGGGAGCTGGGAGATTAGACTGGTGGTCCTTGAAGGGTAAAGGCTAGTATGGGTAGGGTAGGAGACCAGGAATGGAACCCTACAGTAGTATGGAGGAGATGAACTTAGGCCATCTTTTCCTGTACAGCAGTCCAGAGCATGGAGGATGAACCTACCCAGGCCTTCATGTTGACTCCACCCCAAGAGCTTGGCCCTTCCCATTGCAGCTTCCAGACAACAGGTATAAGAAACTCTTCCCTCCTCTGTGTCCCCAATTCTGCATTCTCTTTTTTTTCCTCTGTCACTCAGGCTGGATTACAGTGGTGCAGTCTCGGCTCACTGTAACCTCCGCCTCCCAGGCGGTTTCTCTTCCTTCAGCTTCCCAGGTAGCTGGGATTACAGCTGTCCATGACCATGCCTGGCTAATTTTTTGTATGTTTAGTAGAGACAGGGTTTCACCATGTTGGCCAGGCTGGTCACAAACTCCCGACCTCAAGTGATCCGCCTGCCTCGGCCTCCCAAAATGCTGGAATTGCAGGCGTAAGCCACTGCGCCCGGCCTGCGTTCTTTCTTGATTTGCCTTCCTACATGTTTCTTTCATACTCTGATTACAGTGAGCCCTCTGTGTATGCGAGTTTGCGTCCGTGAATTCAACCAGCTGCAGGTTGAAAATATTTAGGGACTGGCCTGGGCAACAGAGAGAGACCTGGTCTCCACAAAAATGAAAAAATTAGCCCAGCATAGTAGTGAGCACCTGTAGTCCCAGTTACATGGGAGGCCAGGATGGGAAGATCAGTTGAGCCCAGTCTGGGCAATAGCCCATCCCTCAACCCCCACCCCCAATGTCTCTTAAAAAAAACACACACACACTATTGCAGCACTGTTCACAATAGGCAGATATGAAATCAAACTAAATGTCCATCAACAGATGAATGGATAAAGAAAATGTAGGCCGGGGTCGGGCACAGTGGCTCACACCTCTAATCCCAACACTTTGGGAGGCCAAGGCAGGCAGATCACCTGAGATCGGGAGCTTGAGACCAGCCTGACCAACATGGAGAAACCCCGTCTCTACTAAAAATACAAAATTAGCCGGGTGTGGTGGTGCATGCCTGTAATCCCAGCTACTCAGGAGACTGAGTCAGGAGAATCCCTTGAACCCAGGAGGCAGAGGTTGCAGTGAGCTGAGATTGTGCCATCGCACTCTGGCCTGGGCAACAAGAGTGAAACTCTGTCTCAAAAAAACGAAAGAAAAGAAAATGTAGGCCGGGCACAGTGCCTCATGCCTGTAATCCCAGCACTTTGGGAAGCCGAAGTGGGTGGATCACATGAGGTCAGGAGTTTGAGACCAGCCTGGCCAACATGGTGAAACCCTGTCTCTACTAAAAATACAAAAATTAGCTGGGCATGGTGGCAGGTGCCTGTAGTCCCAGCTACTCGGGAGACTGAAGCAGGAGACTCATTTGAACCCCGGAGGCAGAGGTTGCAGTGAGCCAAGGTCACACCACTGCACTCCAACATGGGCAACAGAGTGAGACTTCATCTCTAATAATAAAAAAAAAGAAAATGTGTATATAGGCTGGGTGCAGTGGCTCAAAATACAAAATTTAGCTGGGCATGGTGGCATGCACCTGTAGTCTTAGCTACTCGGGAGGCTAAGATGGGAGGATTGCTGCCTAAGACGCAGAGGTTGCAGTGAGCTGAGGTCATGCCACTGCACTCCAAACTGGGTGACAGAGCAAGACTCAATCTAAAAAAAAAAGAAAATGTGTATATATACACAGTGGAACAGTATTCAGCAACAGAAGAGAATGAAATCCTGTCATCTGCAGCAACATGGATGAACCCTGAGGACATTATGTTAAGTGAAATAAGTCAGCACAGAAAGGCAAATATTGTATGCTCACTCATGTGGGAGCTAAAAACATGGATCTCATGGAAGTAGAGAGTAGAATGGTGGTTACCAAAGGCTAGGAAGGGTAGAGGGACAGAATGCATAAAGAGGTTGGTTAATGAATACAAAAATCCAGTCAGATTGAATGAATAAGTTCTAGTGTTCAGTTCCACAGTAGTGTTACTATAGTTAATAATTTATTGTGTATTTCAAAATAGCTAGAAGAGATTTGATATGTTTCCAAGACAAAGAAATGATAAATGTTTGAGATAGTGGATATCCCAATTATCTTGGTTTTATCATTGTACATTGTATGCATGAGTCAAAATAGCACAGGTACCCCATAAATATGTACAATTATTATGTGTCAATGAAGAAAAAAGAAAATGTGGTATATATACACAGTGGAATACTATTCAGCCTTTAAAAAGAAGGAAATTCCAGCCAAGCATGGTGGCTCACACCTGTAATCCCAGCACTTTGGGAGACCAATGTGGGTGGATCACTTGAGTCTAAGAGTTCAAGACCAAACCCCATCTCTACAACAAATACAAAAAATTAGCCGGGCACTTTGGCACATGCCGTAGTCCCAGCTACTTGGGAGGCTGAGGTGGGAGGATCTCCTGAGCCCAGCAGTTGGGAGTTGCAGTGAGCCAACATCATGCCACTGCACTCCAGCCTGGGTGACAGAGTGAAACTGTCTTGAGAGAGAGAGACTATTCAGGGAACTCTCTTATTAGGCTATGATGTTTTTCTTTCTTTCTTTCTTTCTTTCTTTTTTTGAGACAGGGTCTCTGTCACTCAGGCTGGAATGCAGTGGTATGATGAGAGACTATTCAGGGAACTCATATTAGGCTATGATGTTTTTCTTTTTCTCTTGGGTTTTTTTTTTTTTTTTTTTTTGAGACAGAGTCTCTGTCACTCAGGCTGAAGTGCAGTGGTATGATCACAGCTCACTACAGTCTTGACCTTTGGGGTTCAAGTAGTTCTCCTACCTCAGCCTCCCGGGTAGCTGAGACTACAGGACTACAGGTCCCCGTCCCCACACCTAATTTTTTTGTATTTTTTGTAGAGATGGGGTTTTGCCATGTTGTCCAGGCTAGTCTCAAACTCCTGGCCTCAAGCAATCCTCATGTCTTGGCCTCCCAAAGTCCTGGGATTACATGTCTGAGCCACCATGCCCGCCTAAGGCTATGACCTTTTTGAGACAAACGTTAAATGTTATAACTACCACCCTTATTCCCAGCTTACCTTTAATAACCTGTTCAGATTTATTATTCATGAGTTTATCTAAATCCTTTCTCATCATATTTATTATGTCAACCTGTACTTCCCTTTCCCTCTTCCTCTCCCTCTTTTCTCTCCCTCTCCCTCTCTCTCTCTTCCTTCCTCCCCTTCCAGGTACCCTAGATGAACCATGGGAGGTCCTGGCTACACAGCCATTCTGTCTGAGAGAGTCTGAGGACTCTGAGACCCAGCCTTTTGACACGCACCTTGAGGCCTATGGACCTTGCCTGTCTCCACCTAGGGCAATACCAGGAGACCAACATCCAGAGAGCCCAGTTCACACAGAGCCAATGGGGATTCAAGGCAGAGGGAGGCAGACTGTGGATAAAGTCATGGGTATACCAAAAGAAACAGCAGAGAGGGTGGGCCCTGAGAGAGGGCCATTGGAGAGAGAAACTGAGAAACTGCTACCAGAAAGACAGACAGATGTGACAGGAGAGGAAGAATTAACCAAGGGGAAACAGGACAGAGAACAAAAACAGTTGTTAGCTAGAGACACCCAGAGACAAGAATCTGACAAAAATGGGGAAAGTGCAAGTCCTGAAAGAGATAGGGAGAGTTTGAAGGTAGAAATTGAGACATCTGAGGAAATACAAGAGAAACAAGTACAGAAGCAGACCCTTCCAAGCAAAGCATTTGAGAGAGAAGTAGAGAGACCAGTAGCAAACAGAGAGTGCGATCCAGCCGAGTTAGAAGAGAAGGTGCCCAAAGTGATCCTGGAGAGAGATACACAGAGAGGGGAGCCAGAGGGAGGGAGCCAGGACCAGAAAGGGCAGGCCTCCAGCCCAACACCAGAGCCTGGGGTGGGGGCGGGGGACCTTCCGGGACCTACCTCAGCCCCCGTACCTTCTGGGAGCCAGTCAGGTGGAAGGGGATCCCCAGTGAGCCCCAGGAGGCATCAGAAAGGTAAGTGAAGGCAGAGGGGAACCCAAGGTGATACACAGGCCTCGTGATAATCAACCCCTGGGCAACCAGCTGCTTGGAACTCAGCCACCTTTGTGTTTACTTTCTGTCTAGGCCTCCTGAATTGCAAGATGCCACCTGCTGAGAAGGCTTCCAGGATCAGAGCTGCTGAGAAGGTTTCCAGGGTGAGAGCTACTTTTTCTACCTCCTATTCCACAAGTCATCTCTATATCTTCTCCAATGCTCTTTCACCTAGCCTCACTTTAATCTATTCCTTTCTCATTATTCAGTTTTCTTCCATTTTTGTCACGCCTTGATTGGCTTCTATTCCTTTATCCTCGGCACCCGTTGTTTTCCATATCTGTTTCCTAAGTTGTATCTCCTACCTGACTCAAAAGAAAGACCCTTCGTGTTTCTTCTTTCTTTGCCCCAGCCATCCTTTTCCTTACCATCATCCACGTGTGGAGAACACTATAGTAGCATTATGGAGACAGGTCTGTGGGAAAAAGGTAGCTTCCCAGGTAGATCCCAGTCTAATGGAGGAGAGATCATAGACAGAAAGGAAAATCCAGTGAGCATATTTTTTGTTTTTGTTCTTTTTTGAGACAGAGTCTGTCTCTGTCACCCAGGCTGGAGTGTGCAGTGGCGTGATCTCAGCTTACTGTAACCTCCGTCTCTTGGGTTCAAACAATTTTCCTGCCGCAGCCTCCCAAGTAGCTGGGACTACAGGCGCATGTCACCCGGCTAATTTTTGTGTATTTTTTTGTTTTTTTTGAGACAGTCTCACTCTGTCACCCAGGCTGGAGTGCAGTGGCGCAATCTTGGCTCACTGCAACCTCTGCCTCCCGGGTTCAAGCGACTCTCCTCCCTCAGCCTCCCAGGTAGCTGGGACTACTAGGCGCCTGCCAACACACCTAGCTAATTTTTTTTTTTTTTTTTTTTTTTTTAGACAGAGTCTTGCTCTGTCCCCCAGGCTGGAGTGCAGTGGCACCATCTCGGCTCACTGCAAGCTCCGCCTCCCGAGTTCACGCCATTCTCCTGCCTCAGCCTTCCAAGTAGCTGGGACTACAGGCGCCCGCCACCACGCCCGGCTAATTTTTTGTATTTTTTAGTAGAGACGGGGTTTCACCGTGTTAGCCAGGATGGTCTCGGTTTCCTGACCTTGTGATCCACCCGCCTCGGCCTCCCAAAGTGCTGGGATTACAGGCATCAGCCACCATGCCTGGCCTTTTTTTTTGTATTTTTAGTAGAGACGGGGTTTCACTATGTTGGCCAGGCTGGTCTTGAACTCCTGACCTCGTGATCCGCCCGCCTCGGCCTCCCAAAGTGCTGGGATTATAGCCGTGAGCCACCACGCCCGGTGGAAATCTGGTAAGCCTATCTAACCATAAACAAGTATCAAGAACAGTATCCAAGTTCTATCTCTTTTCTCCACCTCCTCCCCCTCACTTGCTTCTGTTTCTCCCTAGGGCGATCAGGAATCTCCAGATGCTTGTCTGCCTCCTACAGTACCTGAAGCCCCAGCCCCACCCCAAAAGCCCCTTAACTCTCAGAGCCAGAAACATCTTGCACCTCCGCCCCTTCTTTCTCCCCTTTTACCTTCTATCAAGCCAACCGTTCGTAAGACCAGGCAAGATGGGAGTCAGGAAGCTCCAGAGGCTCCCTTGTCCTCAGAGCTGGAGCCTTTCCACCCAAAGCCTAAAATTAGAACTCGGAAGTCCTCCAGAATGACACCCTTTCCAGCTACCTCTGCTGCCCCTGAGCCCCACCCTTCCACCTCCACAGCCCAGCCAGTCACTCCCAAGCCCACATCTCAGGCCACTAGGAGCAGGACAAATAGGTCCTCTGTCAAGACCCCTGAACCAGTTGTCCCCACAGCCCCTGAGCTCCAGCCTTCCACCTCCACAGACCAGCCTGTCACCTCTGAGCCCACATCTCAGGTTACTAGGGGAAGAAAAAGTAGATCCTCTGTCAAGACCCCTGAAACAGTTGTGCCCACAGCCCTTGAGCTCCAGCCTTCCACCTCCACCGACCGACCTGTCACCTCTGAACCCACCTCTCAGGCTACTAGGGGAAGAAAAAATAGATCCTCTGTCAAGACCCCTGAACCAGTTGTCCCCACAGCCCCTGAGCTCCAGCCTTCCACCTCCACAGACCAGCCTGTCACTTCTGAGCCCACATATCAGGCTACTAGGGGAAGAAAAAATAGATCCTCTGTCAAGACCCCTGAACCAGTTGTGCCCACAGCCCCTGAGCTCCGGCCTTCCACCTCCACAGACCGACCTGTCACCCCCAAGCCCACATCTCGGACCACTAGGAGCAGGACAAATATGTCCTCTGTCAAGACCCCTGAAACAGTTGTCCCCACAGCCCCTGAGCTCCAGATTTCCACCTCCACAGACCAACCTGTCACCCCTAAGCCCACATCTCGGACCACTAGGAGCAGGACAAATATGTCCTCTGTGAAGAACCCTGAATCAACTGTCCCTATAGCCCCTGAGCTCCCACCTTCCACCTCCACAGAGCAGCCTGTCACCCCTGAGCCCACATCTCGGGCTACTAGGGGAAGAAAAAATAGATCCTCTGGCAAGACCCCTGAAACACTTGTCCCCACAGCCCCTAAGCTCGAGCCTTCCACTTCCACAGACCAACCTGTCACTCCTGAGCCCACATCTCAGGCCACCAGGGGCAGGACAAATAGGTCCTCTGTGAAGACCCCTGAAACAGTTGTCCCCACAGCCCCTGAGCTCCAGCCTTCCACCTCCACAGACCAGCCTGTTACCCCTGAGCCTACGTCTCAGGCTACTAGGGGAAGAACAGATAGATCCTCTGTCAAGACTCCTGAAACAGTTGTCCCCACAGCCCCTGAGCTACAGGCTTCCGCCTCCACAGACCAGCCTGTCACCTCTGAGCCCACATCTCGGACCACTAGGGGAAGAAAAAATCGGTCCTCTGTCAAGACCCCTGAAACAGTTGTGCCCGCAGCCCCTGAGCTCCAGCCTTCCACCTCCACAGACCAACCTGTCACCCCTGAGCCCACATCTCGGGCCACTAGGGGCAGGACAAATAGGTCCTCTGTCAAGACCCCTGAATCAATTGTCCCTATAGCCCCTGAGCTTCAGCCTTCCACCTCCAGAAACCAGCTTGTCACCCCTGAGCCCACATCTCGGGCCACTAGGTGCAGGACAAATAGGTCCTCTGTCAAGACCCCTGAGCCAGTTGTCCCCACAGCCCCTGAGCCCCATCCTACCACCTCCACAGACCAGCCTGTCACCCCCAAGCTCACATCTAGGGCCACTAGGAGAAAGACAAATAGGTCCTCTGTCAAGACTCCCAAACCAGTTGAACCAGCAGCCTCTGATCTTGAGCCTTTTACCCCCACAGACCAGTCCGTCACCCCTGAGGCCATAGCTCAGGGTGGTCAGAGCAAAACACTGAGGTCTTCCACAGTAAGAGCTATGCCGGTTCCTACCACCCCTGAATTCCAATCTCCTGTCACCACAGACCAGCCTATTTCCCCTGAGCCTATTACTCAACCCAGTTGCATCAAGAGGCAGAGAGCCGCTGGGAACCCTGGCTCCCTCGCAGCTCCCATTGACCATAAGCCTTGCTCTGCACCCTTGGAACCTAAATCCCAGGCCTCAAGGAACCAAAGATGGGGAGCAGTGAGAGCAGCTGAATCCCTTACAGCCATTCCTGAGCCTGCCTCTCCCCAGCTTCTTGAGACACCAATTCATGCCTCCCAGATCCAAAAGGTGGAACCAGCAGGTAGATCTAGGTTCACCCCGGAGCTCCAGCCTAAGGCCTCTCAAAGCCGCAAGAGGTCTTTAGCTACCATGGATTCACCACCACATCAAAAACAGCCCCAAAGAGGGGAAGTCTCCCAGAAGACAGTGATTATCAAGGAAGAGGAAGAAGATACTGCAGAGAAGCCAGGGAAGGAAGAGGTGAGGAGAGGGTTGGGACCACAAAGCTGGGAAAAATGACTTCAGGGCTCTGAAACTCCCACCAAGATTTTTCTCAATCTCAGGATGTCGTGACTCCAAAACCAGGCAAGAGAAAGAGAGACCAGGCAGAGGAGGAGCCCAACAGAATACCAAGCCGCAGCCTCCGACGGACCAAACTTAACCAAGAATCAACAGCCCCCAAAGTAAGAGACAAAGGCATGGGACTTTGTGGGAGACAGAGATGAGGGGAGGATGCAAGGAGACCTAGAGGATTGTAGAGATGGGTGCTGATGGCATGGGTTGCCGTAACCACCTCAGGTCAACCCTTCCACAGGTGCTCTTCACAGGAGTGGTGGATGCTCGGGGAGAGCGGGCTGTGCTGGCACTGGGGGGAAGTCTGGCTGGTTCAGCGGCAGAGGCTTCCCACCTGGTCACTGATCGCATCCGCCGGACAGTCAAGTTCCTGTGTGCCCTGGGGCGGGGAATCCCCATTCTGTCCCTGGACTGGCTGCATCAGGTGAGAGGCCAAGGGATGATGACAGACCGATATAGTGGCAAGACTGCTCATATAGTGCCCTAGAAAGTGGTGGAAGGGAAGAGGCGTTACAGGAAGACAGGGGCATTGGTGAGCCAGAAGCCTGCATTGATTTAAAAGACATTTTGTGAGCTCTCTCTAAATGCTAGGCAGCAGAGCTGATTGAGGGGCTGGGCTGAGCTTTGATGCTGACTGCTGCCGTCCTTAGTCCCGCAAGGCTGGTTTCTTCTTACCCCCGGATGAATATGTGGTGACCGACCCTGAGCAAGAGAAGAACTTTGGCTTTAGCCTTCAAGACGCACTGAGCAGGGCTCGGGAGCGAAGGCTGCTAGAGGTGAGAGGCTATCTTTTAACCTGTGCTTCAGCCCTCCCTCCAGTGCTTCCCAATCTACAATACCATCTCCATCATTTCTTTCTCTTAGGGCTATGAGATCTATGTGACCCCTGGAGTCCAGCCACCACCACCTCAGATGGGAGAGATTATTAGCTGCTGTGGAGGCACATACCTACCCAGCATGCCTCGGTCCTATAAGGTATGCTTAGGATGTTCTGGGTCTGGGTGAGGTGGCAATGGCAGTTAAAGAGGTGGCTGGAATGGCAAAGATTGGAGGGAAAAAAATGGAGGTTCAGAAAGGAATATAAAGTAGTGAGAGGGTGGGGGAAAAGACCTATGGTATAGAAAGGGATAGGAATGAGGGGACAGATCTGCTGATACCCCCATATAACAATCACCGAGATTCAGCAGCAGCTTAATTTAGATTATGCTACATTTGCTCCATCTATCCCTTTTTTCCTTTGATTTTCTTTTTTTTTTTTTTTTTTTTTTTTTGAGATGGAGTCTCACTCTCAGGCTGGAGTGCAGTGGCACAATCTCGGCTCACTACAATCTCCGCCTCCTGGGTTCACACCATTCTCCTGCCTCAGCCTCCCGAGTAGCTGGGACTACAGGTGCCCGCCACCACGCCCGGCTAATTCTTTTGTATTTTTAGTAGAGATGGGGTTTCACTGTGTTAGCCAGGATGGTCTTGATCTCCTGAGGTCATGATCTGCCCGCCTCGGCCTCTCAAAGTGCTGGGATTACAGGCGTGAGCCACCGCGCCCGGCTTTTTCCTTTGATTTTCTTTGCTGAAGTATTTCATTTCTTTTTATTTTTCTTTATTCTTTCTTTTTTTCCTTTCTCTTTCTTTGCTGAAATATTTTAAAGCAAACTGCCAATATTATATTATTTCTTCCTACATACTTAAATATATATCTCTAAGAAATACGTACATTTTATTTCATAATCACAATGCCATTATTGATCCTAAGCAAAATTAACAGTAGTTTATTGGTCATTTGCTCACACTCCATTAATAAAATTTCTCCCATTGTCTGAAAAATGTCTCTATACAGTTGTTCAAATCAGGATTCAAATAAGGTCCACATACTGCCACACCTATTATCTTCTTAATTATCTTTACTCTAGAGCATCCCTTAACCCACCCAGCTTTTTTTATGCCATCTATTTCCTGCAGAAGCTGGGTCACTTGTCCTTTAGAATGTTCCTCAGTCTGGAATTTTGGGTTTGCCTCCTTGTCATATAATTTATCTTGTTCCTCTGTACTCCATATTTCCTGGAAATTGCAGATAATTGTAAAAGCTTGAATAAATTCAGGTTCATCTTTCTAGCAAAAGTATTTTTTTTTTTTGAGAGAGTCTCACTCTGTCGCCAGGCTGGAGTACAGTGGAGCAGTCTTGGCTCACTGCAACCTCCATCTCCCGGGTTCAAGCTGTTCTCCTGCCTCAACCTCCCGAGTAGCTGGGACTACAGGCGCACACCACCACGCCCAGCTAATTTTTTTATTTTTACTAAAGACGGGGTTTCACCATGTTGGCCAGGATGGTCTCGATCTCTTGACCTCGTGATCCACCCACCTCGGCCTCCCAAAGTGCTGGGATTATAGGCGTGAGCCACTGTGCCTGGCCTCTAGCAAGAGTATTTCTTTTTTTTTTTTCTTTTTTTTTTTCTTTTGAGATGGAGTCTTGCTCTGTAGCCCAGGCTGGAGTGCAGTGGCGCGATCTCGGCTCACTGCAAGCTCCGCCTCCTGGGTTTTCACGCCATTCTCCTGCCCCAGCCTCCCGAGTAGCTGGGACGACAGGCACCCGTCAGCGCGCCCGGCTAATTTTTTTTTTTTTTTTTTTTTGTATTTTTAGTAGAGACAGGGTTTCACCGTGGTCTTGATCTCCTGACCTCGTGATCCACCCGCCTCAGCCTCCCAAAGTGCTGTGTAATTACAGGCATGAGCCACTGCGCCCGGCCTAGCAAGAGTATTTCATAGACAGTATGCGGTGTGCTTCACTTGGCTTCATATTAGGAGGTATTATTTTAGTGATGGTAAGACTGGTTAGTGGGTCCTGAACCCATTTCTAGGATTCTTTTTCACCTGATTTTGCCTTTGCTCTGTCTTCCCCAGCCTCAGAGAGTTGTGATCACATGCCCTCAGGACTTCCCTCATTGCTCCATTCCACTACGGGTTGGGCTGCCCCTCCTCTCGCCTGAGTTCCTGCTGACTGGAGTGCTGAAGCAGGAAGCCAAGCCAGAGGCCTTTGTCCTCTCCCCTTTGGAGATGTCATCCACCTGAGAACTCCACTACCCTTTTCCCTCCCAGACCACGAATTAGAAGATATGTGGAAGAAAGAACTCAGGGCGTTAGAAAGGATTGGGGTATATTGATACAACTTGTCCTGGAACATGGGTGGGACCAGAAATCTTTATGAATAAATGAAAAGATAAGGGATTTGGAAGCCACAGGTTGTTTTTTGTTTGTTTGTTTGTTTTTTTAATGGCCATTTTATTTTATTTGTATTTATAGTTTTTTATTTGTATAGATTTAGGGGATACAAGATTTCTTACATGCATGTATTAAATGGCCATTTTAAAATTAGCTAGTTTCATGCTCAGATGTCATAAGTGGCAGCTATCTTTAGCCAGACTGTTGCAGTTATTGCTCGATGCCACTCATGGTGTCCTACCTCCTATTTGGAAACCATCTCTATTTTTTTCTTACTGAGATTCTTACTTTGGGGTCAGGAACTTGAAGGGATGCTTGGAGTGAGTAGATTTGAGGGTCCAGTTATGGAGTGCTACTAAAACATTTTCTTCTCTCCTGGCCTCTGGAAGCATCTTTAGCTTTGACTTTGGGCAAGTCTCTGTACTTTTCTGGCCAGCTTTTCCAGGATTTATAAAATTAGAGCTTCGGCTTGACCTCTGTGATAAATAAATATTCACTCTGTGCCTTATGGTGTAGTGTAGTTTTTTAAAATGTCTAGGTCTCAAGACACAAACTTAAAAAAAAAAAAGTCATAGACTTGTATTTAATTCATCATTATCTTCTATTTAGGACAATTTGTATGACATTTCTTAAGATTTTTTTTTTTTTCTTGAGACAGGGTCTCATCTCTGTCACCTAGGCTGGAGTGCAGTGGCACCATCTTGGCTCACTGCAACCTCCACCTCCCAGTTCAAGCAATAGTCCCACCTCAGCCTCCTGAGTAGCTAGGACTGCAGGCACACACCACCATGCCTGGCTAATTTTCTTTTTTTTATTGTTTAGTAGAGACGGGGCTCTACTAAATTTTTGTATTTTTGGTAGAGATGAGGTTTTGTCATGTTGCCCAGGCTGGTCTCTAACTTCTGACCTCAAGTGATCCACCCACCTCAGCCTCCCGAGTAGCTGGGATTACAGGCACATGCCACCACACCCGGCTAATTTTTGTATTTGTAGTAGAGACGGGGTTTCACCATGTTGGCCATGCTGGTCTCGAACTCCTGACCTCAGGTGATCCACCTGTCTTGACTTCCCAAAGTGCTGGGATAACAGGCATGAGCCGCCATGACTGGCCTTTTATCTTTTTGAGTCAAGGTGTCACTCTGTTGCCCAGGCTGAAGTGCAGTGGCTCGATGTCGGCTTACTGCAGCCTTGACCTCCTGGGCTCAAACGATTTTCCTCTCAGCCTCCCAAGTAGCTGGGACCATAGGTGTGTGCAACCATGCCCGATGAATTTTGTATTTTTGGTAGAGACGAGGTTTTGTCATGTTGCCCAAGCTGGTCTCTAACTCGTGACCTCAAGTGAGCCACCCACCTCAGCCTCCAAAAGTGCTGGGATTACAGGCTTGAGCCACCGTGCCCAGCCAGATTTAAATTTTAAAAGTTGGTTGATTACAAGGATGTGGAGAAATTAGAATCCTTATACATTGCTGGTAGGAATGTTAAATGGTTCAGCCTCTGTGGTAAACAGTTTGATGGTTCCTCAAAAAGTTAAACATATGGATGGGCACAGTGGCTCACACATGTAATCCCAGCACTTTGGAGGCCAAGGCTGGCAGATCACTTGAGCTCAGAAGTTCACGGCCAGCCGGGCAACATGACAAAACCTCGTCTCTACCAAAAATACAAAAATTCACTGGGCATGGTGGCACACACCTATGGTCCCAGCTACTTGGGAGGCTAAGAGGAAAATCGTTTGAGCCCAGGAGGTCAAGGCTGCAGTGGGTGGACACGAGCCACTGCACTTCAGCCTGGGCAACAGAGTGAGACCTTGTCTCAAAAAAATAAAAGGCCAGTCACGGCAGCTCATGCCTGTAATCCCAGCACTTTGGGAAGTCAAGACAGGTGGATCACCTGAGGTCAGGAGTTAGAGACCAGCCTGGCCAACATGGTGAAATCCCGTCTCTACTTAAAATACAAAAATTAGCCGGGCGTGGTGGCATGTGCCTGCAATCCCAGCTACTTGGGAGGCTGAGGCAGAAGAATTGCTGGAACCCGGGAAGTGGAGGTTGCAGTGAGCTGAGATCGTGCCACTGCACTCCAGCCTGGGCAACAGAACAAGACTCCATCTAAAAAAAAAAAGGCCAGGCGTGGTGGCTCACCCCTGTAATCCTAGCACTTTGGGAGGCCAAGGTGGGCAGATCACAAGATCAGGAGATTGAGACCATCCTGGCTAACATGGAGAAACCCCGTCTCTACTAAAAATACAAAAAATTAGCTAGGCGTGGTGGCAGGCGCCTGTAGTCCTAGCTACTCGGGAGGCTGAGGCAGGAGAATCGCTTGAACCCGGGAGGTGGAGGTTGCAGTGAGCCAAGACTGCTCCACTGTACTCCAGCCTGGCGACAGAGCGAGACTCCCTCTCAAAAAAAAAACAAAAAAAAAAAAGTAGCCTCTTTTCTGGCTGGAACCCTCATGTAGAGTGTTGTAGATAAGAAGGAGAGGGCCGGGGTGCAGTGGCTCACACCTGTAATCCCAACACTTTGGGAGGCCGAGGTGGGCAGGTCACCTGAGGTCAGGAGTTCAAGACCAGGCTGGCCAACATGACAAAACCCCGTCTCTACTAAAAATTCAAAACAAAATTAGCCGGGCATGGTGGCCAGCCCCTGTGATCCCAGCTACTCAGGAGGCTGAGGCAGGAGAATTGCTTGAATGCAGGAGGGGGAGGTTGCATTGAGTCGAGATCGCACCATTGCACTCCAGCATGGGAGACAGAGCAAGACCCCGTCTTAAAAAAAAAAAGAGAGAGAAAAAGAAGGAGGTTCTTGCTATGCCAGAAACCCTTAAAAAGCGAAGGAATTTCCCAGAGCTGAAGATCAAAGGCCCGAGAAAGAAATTTGCCCAAAAGATGATTCAAAAGGCAAGGAGGAAGCTTATCTATGAAAAAGTGAAGCACTATCACAAGGAATATAGGCAGATGTACAGAACTGAAATTCGAATGGCTAGGATGGCCAGAAAAGCTGGCAACTTCTATGTACCTGCAAAACCCAAATTGCCGTTTGTCATCAGGATCAGAGGTATCAGTGGTGTGAACCCAAAGGTCCGAAAGGTGTTGCAGCTTCTTCGCCTTTGTTAAATCTTCAGTGGAACCTTTGTGAAGCTCAACAAGGCTTCAATGAACATGCTGAGGATTGTAGAACCATATATGGCATGGGGGTACCCAAAGCTGAAGTCAGTAAATGAACTAATCTACCAGCATGGTTATGGCAAAAATCAATAAGAAGCAAATTGCTTTGACAGATGACACTTTGATTGCTTTATCTCTTGGTAAATATGGCATCACCTGCATGGAGGATCTGATTCTTGAGATCTATACTGTTGGAAAATGCTTCAAAGAAGCAAATAACTTCCTGTAGCCCTTCAAATTATCCTCTCCACAAGGTAGAGTAAAGAAAAAGACCACCCATTTTGTAGAAAGTGGACATGCTGGCAACAGGGAGAACCGGATCAACAGACTTATTAGAAGAATGAGCTAAGGTGTCTACTGTGATTGTTTTTCTAATCTAAGCACTTAAGCAGTACCTGCTCTCAAATTGGAGGAAAAAAAAGAAAGTTAAATACGGAATTACCGAACAGTCCAGCAATTCTGCTCCTAGGTGTACACCCAAAAGAATTTAAATCAGGTGTCCAGGCTGGGTGGGGTGGCTTATGCCTATAATCCCAGCAGTTTGGGAGGCCAAAGTGGGAGGATTGCATGAGCCCAGGACTTCACGGGCAACCAGTCTGGGCAACATGGCAAAACCCTGTCACTACAAAAAATACAAAAATGGGCTAGGTGCGGTGGCTCACGCCTATAATCCTAGCACTTTGGGAGGCAAGGTGGGTAGATCACCTGAGGTCAGGAGTTCAAGACGAGCCTGGCCAACATGGCAAAACCCCATCTCTACTAAAAAATACAAAAATTAGCCGGGTGTGGTGGCTCATGCCTGTAATCCCAGCATTTTGGGAGGCCGAAGGTGGTTGGATCACCTGAGGTCAGGAGTTCGATACCAGCCTGACCAACATGGAGAAACCCGTCTCTACTAAAAAATACAAAATTAGCTGGGCGTGGTGGTGCATGCCGGTAATCCCAGCTACTCCGGAGGCTGAGGCAGGAGAATCACTTGAACCTGGGAGGTGGAGATTGTGGTGAGCCAAGATCATGCCGTTGCAACAAGAGCAAAACTCCGTCTAAAAAAAAAAAAAAATTAACTGGGCCTGGTGGCTCACGCCTGTAATCCCAACACTTTGGGAGGCTGAGGCGGGTGGATCATGAGGTCAGGAGATCAAGACCATCCTGTCCAACATGGTGAAACCCCCTCTCTACTAAAAATACAAAAATTAGCTGGGCGTGGTGGCGTGCGCCTGTAGTCCCAGCTACTCGTGAGGCTGAGGCAGAAGAATCACTTGAACCAGAGAGTCAGAGTTTGCAGTGAGCCAAGATCATGCCACTGCACTCGAGCCTGGCTATAGAGGGAGACTCTGTCTCAAAAAATAATAATAATAATAATAAAAAAATTAGCTGGGCATGGTGGCATGTGGCTGTAATCCCAGCTACTGGGGAGGCTGAGGCTGCAGAATCACGTGAACCCGGGAAGCAGAGGTTGCAGTGAGCTGAGATCATGCCACTGCACTCCAGCCTGGGTGACAGAGAAAGACTCTCTCTCAAAAAAAAAAAAAAAATTTAGCCAGGTGTGGTGGCACATGCCTGTAATCCCAGCTACTTGGAATGCTGAGGTGGGAGGAGGTCAAGGCTGCAATGAGCCATGATTGTGCAACTACATTCCAGCCTGGGTAACAGAGCACGACTCTGTCTCCAAAAAAAAAAAAAAAAAAGGAAAAGAAAACAGTTATTCAAACAAATTCTTGTACGTGAGTGTTCATATCAGCACTTTTTACAATAGCCAAAAAGGTGGAAACAACACAAATATTCATCAGCAAATGAGTGGATAAACAATTGTGATATATCCATATAATCAAATATTATTCAACCATAGAAAAGGATGAAATACTGATATATGCTACAATATTTTGAGGATGAATATCAAAATATTTTGCTAAGTGAAGGAAAGCCAGAAACAGAACACATATTATGTGATTACACATGTAAGGAATATCCAGAATAGGTAAACCCATAGAGAACAAGAGCAGATTTGTGGTTGCCAGTGGCTGTGGGGTGGGGGAGATGAGAAAATGGGGAGTAACTTCATGGGTATGGAGTTTTATTTGGGGGTGATGAAAATGTTTTGAAGGCCCAGCGTGGTGGCTCATGCCTGTAATCCCAGCACTTTGGGAGGCTGGGGCAGGTGGATCACTTGAGGTCAGGAGTTCGAGACTAGCTGGACCAACATGGTGAAACCCTGTCACTACTAAAAATACAAAATTAGCCAGGCGTGGTGGCACATGCCTGTAATCCCAGCTACTTGGGAGGCTGAGCAGGAGAATTGCTTGAACCTGGGTGGCAGAGGTTGCAGTGAGCGGAGATCAGCCATTGCACTCCAGCATGGGCAATAAGAGCAAAGCTCCATCTCAAAAAAAAAATGTTTTGAAATTAGATAGAGGTGGTGGTTGTACCTATTACTAATATACTAATGTACTAAATACCATTATATTATTCTCTTTAAAGTGGTTAGGCTAGGCCGGGTGTGGTGGCTCACGCCTGTAATCCCAGCACTGTGGGAGGCCAAGGTGGGTGGATCACCTGAGGTCAGGAGTTTGATTGAGACTAGCCTGGCCAACATGGTGAAACCCTATCTCTATTAAAAATACAAAAATTGGCCAGATGTGGTGGTGGGCGCCTGTAATCCCAGCTACTTGGGAGGCTGAGGCAGGAGAATCACATGAACCCAAGAGGCGGAGGTTGCAGTGAGCCAAGATCGCGCCATTGCACTCCAGCCTGGGCAATAAGAGCGAAACTCTGTCTCAAAAATAAATAAATAAATAAATACAATAAAGTGGTTAGGCAAGGCATGGTGGCACCCTGGGAGGCTAAGGCAGCAGGATCACTTGAGCCAAGGAGTTTGAGACCAACCTGGGTATCATAGTGAGACCCCATCACTACAAAAAATAAAAAGTTAGCTGAATGTGGTGGCGCATGCCTGTAGTCCCAACTACTCAGGAGGCTGAGGCAAGAGGACCATTTGCCCAGAAGTTCGAGGTTGCAGTGAGCTGTGATCATACCACTGCACTCCAGCCTGGACCGCAACTCAAAAAAAAAAAAGGTTAATTTTATGTTGCATGAATTTCAATTTTTAAAAAATAGTTGATTACTTATGTACACTTTTCTGCATGTAAGTAATACTTAAGTTTGGAAAACTTTGGTGTAGTAGAAATAGCATGAGATTTGCCAAGCATTTTGCTGGCTATTAAACATATCTAATCTCATAATATACATTAAGCACAGCCATTGTGGGGGTGGCAGACAGTATGACCCAGATAAATATTAGTCCCCTTGCACAACTCAAAGCTTTCATACTCTAAAATTGTCCATGTCCCGGAGGCCCTGATTTCTTTCTTTCCATTTTTTTTTTTTTTTTTTTGAGACAGAGTTTCACTCTTGTTGCCCAGGCTGGGTTCAATGGCGTGATCTCGGCTCACTGCAGCCTCCGCCTCTCGGGTTCAAGTGATTCTCCTGCCTCAGCTTTCTGAGTAGCTGGGATTACAGGCATGCACCACCACGCCCAGCTAATTTTGTATTTTTGGTAGAGACAGGGTTTCTCCATGTTGGTCAGGCTGGTCTCGAACTCCCGACCTCAGGTGATCCACCCACCTTGGCCTCGCAAAGTGCTGGGATTACAGGCGTGAGCCACTGCACCCGGCTCCTTTTTTTTTTGTTGTTGTTGTTGAGATGGAGTCTTGTTCTGTTGCCCAGGCTGGAGTGCAGTGGCGCGATCTCGGCTTACTGCAACCTCCGCCTCCCAGGTTCAAGCAATTCTCCTGCCTCAGCCTCCCAAGTAGTTGGGACTACAGGTGTGTGCCACCACACCCGGCTAATTTTTGTATTTTTAGTAGAGACGGGGTTTCGCCATGTTGGTCAGGCTGGTCTCTAACCCCTGACCTCGTGATCCACCCACCTAGGCCTCCCATAGTGCTGGGATAACAGGCATGAGCCACCGCGCCCAGCTCCTTTTTTTTTTTTTTTGAGACGGAGTCTCACTCTGTCACCCAGGCTGGAGTCCAGTGGCGAGATCTCAGCTTATCGCAACCTCCACCTCCCGGGTTCAAGCGATTCTCCTGCCTCAGCCTCCCGAGAAGCTGGGATTACAGGCTCCTGCCACCACACCTGGCTAATTTTTGTCTTTTAAGTGGAGACGAGGTTTCACCATGTTGGCCAGGCTGGTCTCAAACTCCTGACCTCAGATGATCCAACTGCCTCGGCCTCCCAAGTGCTGGGATTACAGCTGTGAGCCACTGCGCCCAGCCAGAGACCTTGATTTCTTACCATACCTGCTGTCTGTAGAGCACCATGTAGCACTCAGCTACACTCCCTCTTCATGAGTGGTACTATTTAAATGCCTCAGGTTAAACATCTAGAGATTAGGGATCTTTTCTTACACTTCCTTGTATTTTATTTATTTATTTTTTTGTTTGAGACAGAATCTTGCTCCATCACCCAGTGGATTCTCCTGCCTCAGCCTCCCAAGTAGCTGGGATTACAGGCGCATACCACCACACCCAGCTAATTTTTAAAATTTTTTAGTAGAAATGGGGTTTCACCACGTTGGCCATTCTGGTCTCCAGCTTCTGGTCTAAAGTGATCCACCCACCTCAGCCTCCCGAATTGCTGGGATTACAGGCGTGAGCCACCGAGTCTGGCCTCTTACACTTCCAATGAACCCCATAGCTTGTAGCACATTGCTTTGTGTGGTAAGTGTCTCTATTCATGGTCCTAGCAGGAAATGAATAGCACAGTGAAATTAGGATAATTTGGGGGAGAGTTTAATAAAGTGATAATTACAAAGAAGTAGGCAGGGTGTAGGGAAATCAGAAAGAATAGTGCAGTGCCTTAGTACCCACAGCTCTGTTGTGATCACCTCCAAGCTCAAAAAGATGAGGACAGAGCAGTCGTGTAGAGAGGACTTTCTTTTTTTTTTTTTCTTTTCTTTTTTTTTTTTTTTTTTTTTGAGATGGAGTCTTGCTCTGTCGCCCAGGCTGGAGTGCAGTGGCGCGATCTCGGCTCACTGCAAGCTCTGCCTCCCGGGTTCACGCCATTCTTCTGCCTCAGCCTCCTGAGCAGCTGTGACTACAAGCGCCCGCCACCGCGCCCGGCTAATTTTTTTTGTATTTTTAGTAGAGACGGGGTTTCACCGTGGTCTCGATCTCCTGACCTCGTGATCCACCCGCCTCGGCCTCCCAAACTGCTGGGATTACAGGCGTGAGCCACCGCGCCCGGCGAGAGGACTTTCTCAATAAAAACTGTGACTTTCATTGATACCGTCCATTTGGGACAACTTACTGAAGCAGAAAGCAGGGTGGAGACTGAATTCAAGGGAAAACATAAGATGTCTGGTACAGCATACAACAGCATTGATTCAGAGGAGGGTGGGAGTACTGAGCCCAGGAGACGGAGAAGGAATGTAAAGCCTGCGAGAGGCTGCTCAGCAATTATCTGGTCCCTTAGCCTACAGGATTAGCAGCTTCCTAACTCAGGCAATTATCTCTCTGGACCTGTTTCTTCTATCTATAAGTTGATGGAATTAGTCTAATGATATCTAAGGTCCCTACTATGTGTACGTCTACTGTGACAAGGTCCTTAGCTGCATGATCTTTAATTCTGACAAAGGTTACTATCACAAATATTTTAACATGTTTATTCTCGTGGTTACTAATCAACAATCTCTGGCACTATTACAACAAACCTTTCAGTATTTACAGAGAAGTTATTTGCCATTCTTAGCAACTGGCCAGTCAACAACTCAACTTTATAGTAAGTTACAGAATTTATTCTGTATATTGTATTCTGTACAATGTATTCCATACATTAATTTATTTTGTGGTAAAACAGTAACTTTTCATTTTAGATGGGAAAACTAGACGAGCTGAGATTCAACCCACGTGAGCGGCTGCAGAGCCGCTACCCTTAACAGCTCTCTCTCGGGATTCTAACATTCCCTTCTGTGACGGAGAGACAGCAGGCCGGGACACGCATCCCAGGACGGATCCACAGCTGGATGGGGAAGGCTGCGCCAGGCGGGCCGGAAGCCTGGCGGTGGCGTGCAGGAGCCCCGCCCTCCTGGGCTGGATTCAGCCGGGGGCGGGGCCGCGGGCGGGGCCTGTGGCAGCGGGAATCCCGACCCCGCCCCTTTCCCCACCCCTCCATTTCTCGCCATGGCCCCTGCACTGCTCCTGATCCCTGCTGCCCTCGCCTCTTTCATCCTGGCCTTTGGCACCGGAGTGGAGTTCGTGCGCTTTACCTCCCTTCGGCCACTTCTTGGAGGGATCCCGGAGTCTGGTGGTCCGGGTGAGCGGGAGGGATCGAGGATGAACTGGGAGGAGGAAGGTGGAGCCGTAGGAGAGGGATTGAGGGCGGGGCTTGGAAACAAATGACAGGGGAAGTCCAAGAGAGGGAACTCGAACCTTGAAAGCGGCCGAGAAGCTACAGGGGAGGGAGACCTGAGTTCTAAATTAGGAACTCAAGGATTAGAGTTTTGGAGAGGCGGGAGAGTGAGGACTGAGGGAGCCGAAAAGGGCGGTGACCGGAGTATTCTAAGTAAAGTGTTTTGTAGAGAGGACTGTTGAGAGGAGAGTGTTAAAAAGAAGGAGCATTTGGAGAACCGAAGTAAGAGGGGCAATCCAGCGTGGCCTCTCCAGCCATGCTTTTTGCAACTGCCTAACATGTGGTGTTCTATAAATCCTCTTCCCCAGGTTTGCAGGAGGCCTAGGGAAGAGGGCAGAAACTAGGGATGGAAAAGTGAGATGGGCACAGCCTAGAGAGGAAGCATTAAGGCTCTTGAAAGCAGTAAGGGACATGGCCTGGGGATCCAAGAGGAGATGAGGGTGGGGGAAACATTCTGCCACTGTTTCGATCTTTTGTCTCTTTTTCCCTCAACTTCCTGTAGATGCCCGCCAGGGATGGCTGGCTGCCCTGCAGGACCGCAGCATCCTTGCCCCCCTGGCATGGGATCTGGGGCTCCTGCTTCTATTTGTTGGGCAGCACAGCCTCATGGCAGCTGAAAGAGTGAAGGCATGGACATCCCGGTACTTTGGGGTCCTTCAGAGGTCACTGTATGTGGCCTGCACTGCCCTGGCCTTGCAGGTATGAGGCCCTGGCCTTGCAGGTATGAAATCCTGGCAGTTGAGTCCCCAAGGGAGACCAAGTGTGGGAGGGGTGCCGTGGATTGGAGGGGCAAAATATGGGTTCAGGAGGAGAATTGAGGAACTAATCTCAGCTTCCATTCCTCCACAGCACATATCCTACTTTTTATCAAGAAGGGTGTACTTGTCCTTCCCTAAGCACAAGATATGCTTCTCACCTCTGCAACTTTGTTTATGTCCTGCTTGAGATCCCTTCTCTTCAGTCCTACCCTTTCTTCAAAACCACTTCCCTAGGTCTGAAGAGAAGGCCTTGTCTGTCTTTTCACTGGGTGGTTGGCACAGGCTACTACTTTGCGTAGCTATCAGGTCACCCCATCTATTCTATAAGTTCTCAGGGTAGAGACAGGCCATCCTTACATCTTTGGGACCTCACCCAGCACGCACCCTCCACATGGTGAATATTTGGTGGTGATGCTTAGGAGAGAGGTGGGGGAGAGTTGCAGGCTAGCCTGTGGTGGGGGCAGATCTGGGTCTGGGTCTCCCAAGGTCGGGCAGACTAGGCCACTGGGATACCCAGCCCCTTATCCTTCCACAGCTGGTGATGCGGTACTGGGAGCCCATACCCAAAGGCCCTGTGTTGTGGGAGGCTCGGGCTGAGCCATGGGCCACCTGGGTGCCGCTCCTCTGCTTTGTGCTCCATGTCATCTCCTGGCTCCTCATCTTTAGCATCCTTCTCGTCTTTGACTATGCTGAGCTCATGGGCCTCAAACAGGTGAGGCTCCGAGATCCCTACCTATGACCTCTGACCCGTTTTAGAACTCCTCGTTCCCTTTCAAGGGTTTCCCTCCTCCCATGCTCTTCTACTGTCTCCCTGCTTCTCCCTCGTGGCCCTTCCCTTTGACTTTCCCTCGTAAGGGCAGCAAGCATGGGCCTCCTGGGCCTGGGGAAGGTACATGGATCAGAAGTCAGGATCAGGGATCCAAGTCTCAGAAGGGGGGTTCCTGGGCCTGAGTTCTAGAAGGGTGGTGCCTGGAAGAGGAGGAAAGAAGTGCCCAAGATGAGAAAAGGGCTTGACTCCATTTCTAAGCTCTTCTCCCTCTCTTAGGTATACTACCATGTGCTGGGGCTGGGCGAGCCTCTGGCCCTGAAGTCTCCCCGGGCTCTCAGACTCTTCTCCCACCTGCGCCACCCAGTGTGTGTGGAGCTGCTGACAGTGCTGTGGGTGGTGCCTACCCTGGGCACGGACCGTCTCCTCCTTGCTTTCCTCCTTACCCTCTACCTGGGCCTGGCTCACGGGCTTGATCAGCAAGACCTCCGCTACCTCCGGGCCCAGCTACAAAGAAAACTCCACCTGCTCTCTCGGCCCCAGGATGGGGAGGCAGAGTGAGGAGCTCACTCTGGTTACAAGCCCTGTTCTTCCTCTCCCACTGAATTCTAAATCCTTAACATCCAGGCCCTGGCTGCTTCATGCCAGAGGCCCAAATCCATGGACTGAAGGAGATGCCCCTTCTACTACTTGAGACTTTATTCTCTGGGTCCAGCTCCATACCCTAAATTCTGAGTTTCAGCCACTGAACTCCAAGGTCCACTTCTCACCAGCAAGGAAGAGTGGGGTATGGAAGTCATCTGTCCCTTCACTGTTTAGAGCATGACACTCTCCCCCTCAACAGCCTCCTGAGAAGGAAAGGATCTGCCCTGACCACTCCCCTGGCACTGTTACTTGCCTCTGCGCCTCAGGGGTCCCCTTCTGCACCGCTGGCTTCCACTCCAAGAAGGTGGACCAGGGTCTGCAAGTTCAACGGTCATAGCTGTCCCTCCAGGCCCCAACCTTGCCTCACCACTCCCGGCCCTAGTCTCTGCACCTCCTTAGGCCCTGCCTCTGGGCTCAGACCCCAACCTAGTCAAGGGGATTCTCCTGCTCTTAACTCGATGACTTGGGGCTCCCTGCTCTCCCGAGGAAGATGCTCTGCAGGAAAATAAAAGTCAGCCTTTTTCTACATATGGCATGCAGTCTGTCAGTGTCTCCCAAGCTACAGGGCTGAGTTTGGGAAAGAAAGCCAGAGGGAGCCTGGGAGCACCGAACTGGAGTCTGGGCAGCCACCACGCCCTCTGGCAACCGCTGGGGTTCGGCCACCCCCGCAGACCCGCCCCCACTTTGCCAGAGCGGCCGGGTCCCCATTCCCATTCCTTCAAATCCCCTTTTTCCCGGCAGCCGACCTGTAGACCCAAGGGAGACAGGTTGAAGCTAGAAAGAGTCGGGGCAGCAGCTCTGGTAGGGGAGGGAGCATCCAAAACCTCTGGCTTCTGAGCGCCTCTCCTGCCGCCCATCCACAAAGCCCCCCACAGCCTGGCGGCTGCCCTCGACCCCGCAAAACAAAGGACTTCAGAGGCTGGACCTACAGACCCAGATGAGAAGGCAAAAGCGTAGGGAGGAGCGGCAGGAGATGGGAAGGGCGGGCCCCGCTCGGAGCAGCTGCCGCTTCCTCCCAAAGTCCCACGAGGGGCCTGAGTCACGGGCCACCGCCCTGGGTCGGCGAGCTGGGGGAAGGGATCTGGACACCTGGCGTGTCCGGGCGGGAAGCTGGTGAGGGCCCCTGGGGACAGAGCGGAGGACCAGTGGTTGGGGCGAGAAGAGGGCAGTCCCGCAGCGAGTCCCACGCGGGGTGGGAGGGATCTAGGCCCCGCCCTCTCCTCGGCTCCGCCCTGCGCCCCCTTCCCTCTCCTCATTGTCCTTAGACAAAGCGGTCGCCGCCCCCGCCCGGCCCCCTGGTCTCTGTCTCCGTCCCTCCTCCTTTGCTGCCTCTTTCCCTCCTCCTCTCCCTCCCTCCTCCCCTCCCTCCAGTCTCCGGATCTCCCTCGGTCCCTCTCTCCTCCTCTTCCTCTCTCTGGACGCCCGGCTCCTCCGCACCCCCTCCCCCGGGGGTCCCGCGGCCTGTGAGTTGACTGAGGGGCTCAGACTTGGGGAGTGGGTGTCTCCTCGCCCCTGTCCTTGCTCCCGTCCCTGGCCCGGACCTTGGCTGTCTCCTCTTTGTGCCGAGATTGTCAGTCTGTGCGGCTACAGCGGGGTGGAGACGGCCGGCTCTGTCACGGCTTCATGAGAGCGGGGACGGGGCGCAGGACTTGCAGGCGCCGGGGAGAAGAGACATGGAGCCGGCCCTTGGCACTCTGGGGTCGCGTGGGGCAGTCGGTGGGGGAGGCAGGCGGTGGTGACAGGACAGGGTGGGGGTGGACGCCAGGGTTCTGGGAACGCGCTGGCAGCCCTGACGCCCGGGTTCCGAAAGTCTCGGGGGTGGCTATTTCCCCCGACCCGCCTCGGGGGCGGAGTGCGGGGCAGAGGGGTGGGGGCTGGGGAGAGGCGTGGCCCGAGCGGTGCTGGAAGCGGAGCCGGGACCTTTGGGGCCCGCGCTGAGACGCGCCCGGCTGCTGCCGCCGCCCTCCTTTCCCCTCTTCCCTGGTTTCCCTTCTCCTCTAGACCTGTTCGCTCTCCGCCCCTCCTTGCCTCCCCAACACCCCCTCAGGTCCCGTTGCCTCCTGGTCCTTTCAGGGATTCCTGGTCCTTCCTTCCCACACTAGCCTCCCTGGGGTATCGCTGAGGCAGCCTGGCCTGCACCCAGGTTCCCCTCACCCCTGCCACATTTCTCTCTTCTCCCTCACGCCAACTTTCCTTTTCGCCCTTCTCTCTCTTTCTCACATCCTAGAGACGGTCTTTAATACGCATTAACCCTGTGCTGCCACATCTGGCTCCTGCCCTCATTGCCTCCAATCCGGACTCTTCCTCTCACATCACCCCCACCACCCCCAACTTGGGCTCACAACTTCTCTTCACTTTTTCCATTTCCCCAGTTCTCTGCCTTCCGTCTTTCCCTCTGTCCTCATCCTTAGCCCCTCTGCCCTGCTTTGTGTCCCACCTCTCCCCCTCCACTTCCTCTCCTCCCACCCTCAGTCTCACCCCCGGGCTGTCTCACTCTCTGGAGCCTCTCCTTCCTGTTCTCTGTCCCCAGTGCTCCCTACCCTCACCTCAAGACGACCATGGCCACCATCCCAGACTGGAAGCTACAGCTGCTAGCCCGGCGCCGGCAGGAGGAGGCGTCCGTTCGAGGCCGAGAGAAAGCAGAACGGGAGCGCCTGTCCCAGATGCCAGCCTGGAAACGAGGGCTCCTGGAGCGCCGCCGGGCCAAGCTTGGGCTGTCCCCTGGGGAGCCTAGCCCTGTGCTAGGGACTGTAGAGGCTGGACCTCCAGACCCGGATGAGTCTGCGGTCCTTCTGGAGGCCATCGGGCCAGTGCACCAGAACCGATTCATCCGGCAGGAGCGGCAGCAGCAGCAGCAGCAACAACAACGGAGTGAAGAGCTGCTAGCAGAGAGAAAGCCTGGGCCTCTGGAGGCCCGGGAGCGGAGACCCAGCCCTGGGGAGATGCGGGATCAGAGCCCCAAGGGAAGAGAGTCAAGAGAAGAGAGACTAAGTCCGAGGGAGACCAGAGAGAGGAGGCTGGGGATAGGGGGAGCCCAAGAGTTGAGCCTGAGGCCTCTGGAGGCTCGGGACTGGAGGCAAAGCCCAGGAGAGGTGGGAGACAGGAGCTCCCGACTGTCAGAGGCATGGAAATGGAGGCTGAGTCCTGGAGAAACTCCAGAGCGGAGTCTGAGACTAGCAGAGTCTCGAGAGCAAAGCCCCAGGAGAAAAGAGGTGGAAAGTAGACTGAGCCCAGGGGAATCTGCCTACCAGAAGTTGGGCCTGACAGAGGCCCATAAATGGAGACCTGACTCCAGAGAGTCTCAGGAACAGAGTTTGGTACAACTGGAGGCAACAGAGTGGAGGCTGAGGTCAGGAGAAGAAAGACAAGACTACTCGGAAGAATGTGGGAGAAAAGAAGAGTGGCCAGTTCCAGGGGTAGCTCCAAAAGAGACTGCAGAGCTGTCCGAGACCCTGACAAGGGAGGCCCAAGGCAACAGTTCCGCAGGAGTGGAGGCAGCAGAGCAGAGGCCTGTGGAAGATGGCGAGAGGGGCATGAAGCCAACAGAAGGGTGGAAATGGACCCTGAACTCCGGGAAGGCTCGAGAATGGACACCCAGGGACATAGAGGCTCAAACTCAGAAACCAGAACCTCCAGAGTCAGCAGAGAAGCTTCTGGAATCTCCCGGTGTGGAGGCTGGAGAAGGGGAGGCTGAGAAGGAGGAGGCGGGGGCTCAGGGCAGGCCTCTGAGAGCCCTGCAGAACTGCTGCTCTGTGCCCTCCCCCCTCCCACCAGAGGACGCTGGGACTGGAGGCCTGAGACAGCAGGAAGAGGAAGCAGTGGAGCTCCAGCCCCCACCACCAGCCCCTCTGTCTCCCCCACCCCCAGCCCCAACTGCCCCCCAACCTCCTGGGGATCCCCTCATGAGCCGCCTGTTCTATGGGGTGAAGGCAGGGCCAGGGGTGGGGGCCCCCCGCCGCAGTGGACACACCTTCACCGTCAACCCCCGGCGGTCTGTGCCCCCTGCGACCCCAGCCACCCCAACCTCTCCAGCCACAGTTGATGCTGCAGTCCCGGGGGCTGGGAAGAAGCGGTACCCAACTGCCGAGGAGATCTTGGTTCTGGGGGGCTACCTCCGTCTCAGCCGCAGCTGCCTTGCCAAGGGGTCCCCCGAAAGACACCACAAACAGGTAGGGAAGCAGCCAAGCCAGACTTCTTAGAAGTCCACTTGTCAATTTTCTCTGGACTCTGGTCTCTTTCTTTTTTATACCCCTGTTTTCTTGTCTTCCTCTATTCTTTCTTGTTAATTCCTGCCACCACCCTTCCTCGCTCTGCACATACACCCTTCCTTCTCAGAGCCCTCCTTTTCCATTTTGAGCCCAAAAGATCCTGCCCCAGCAAAGGCTGTCTCTGGGTGTGTCTCTTTCAGGGTGTGCCAGGCTGCTCATTCTCCCTTCCCTTGGGCTCTGAGTTTCCAACCCCCTTTTCTTTCCTTCCTTTCCTGAGTGTGACCTGCCCCAGCCCATCCAGTGGGAGAGCCTAAAGTGACGAGCTTGAATCAGTGAGGGCAGGGTCACCAGGGTGAGAGCACTTGCAGTTTTTCTGGGGAGAAGGGATAGGGAGCCTGGGGTGGTGGAGGGGGTGGGGTGGGTTTGTGTTCTAGGGAGAAACTGCAGGGAGAAGTGAATGGAGAAAGGTCCAACTGCCCCGTGGGAAGGAGGGCAGAGCTGAATAGGGACATCCTAGGATGGAGGGGAGAGGGGAGATGGAACCGGGCCGGCCAAAGAGCAGAGAGAAGGCTTTTGAACCCCGAGTCTGCCCCATGGGAGAGACACAGAGAGGCCATTTGAAGTGGGTGACCTCGGGGTTGCACACCCCCAGCTGGGCCACTGCTTCAGACAGTGCTCCCTTCTCTCTTGGGACAAGAAAAGCCTTCTCCTCTTCCAAAATACCCCCGCCCCTCACTCCCCTGTCCTTCCTCCCTGGGTTTCCCCTCCCTCCCAAGAACTGGCTCAGGGATCGGTTTTCCCCTCTTTTCCTGCCATCCTGGACTTTCCCTCCCCTTAGGGTAGCAAAAGAGAGAAGTGAATTTGGAGACAGTTTTGAGAACAGGCACTGGCCAGGGAGCACAGTGGGAGTTCTGGACAGGGGTTGGGGCTGAGGCCAGCAGAGGGTCAGAGGTTAGACTTGCAACAAAGACCTGCAGGAAAGTGGGGGCAGCCAGGATGACTCCCCCTGGCCCTGGCCTCACTTCTTCCCTGTGCACATCCATCTGTTTCCAGCTTGAAAATCTCTAGGGAGACAGAGGTCCCACACTCAGACATCTCAGACTTAGGAAGTCCCTCCAGTCACACACATCTCCCCAGAGCCTGGGAAGCCCAGTCTCATTCTCATCCCATGTGTTAACATCCTCAGATTTGATTTTTTTGTGTCCTCAGTGTCAGTGGGGAACCACAGGGACTAAAGATACGGGTTAAGCCTTGGGTGGAGGGGGGTTCATTTGATCCCCCAATTCATCTTCACATGAAGCGTAAGCTCCCACCTCTAAGCCATGGTTCTTGGGAACCTACCCTCAGCCCTCTGACTGCTACCAGCCTGTTCCCCTCAGGGCTGGGCAGATGAAAAAAACAGAAGTCCGGAAATGCTACCCGGGTGAGGTGTTCAGAAAAGTCACTTCCTACTGAGAGAGGCTTGTGCCTCTGGGGAAGAATGAGCAGAGGGAAGCATGAAGCTTTGGGGCCCAAAGCCCAGGGAGCATCCCAGGGGAGCCAGGAAGCAAGTGCAGGGCAGGACCTGTGCTGGTGACCATACCTAGGCCAGAGAGCAGGGGAGCCGGAAGCAGATCGCCCAAACAGGAAGCCTGGGGTGGGGGCCGGAAGGCTGGTGGGGCTGAGTGGGGAACCCTGGGCCCTGGGCCCTGGGCCTGCCAGATCTGTGCTCAGGATGTGGTGAGAGAATAAGGAAGCAGCCGCTGCTTGGGTGGGGGTGGGGAGGAGGCAGCACAGAGTTCCTCTGACCCAGACGCCTCACCCTCCACCCTCTACCCCCTGTCAGCAACCTGTTCTTCAGGGACTGGGTGCCTTGTCCCAGCTCTGCTGCAACACACTGGCTCAGGAATAGGAGATAGGAGGACCCTGCCACCAACCCCCGCTTCACCTTCCCTAAATAACTCGTTTGCAGGCTAATTCCATCAAATTTATCCCTGCCATCAGGAGAGAAATCCCAGCCCTGCCACTGGAGCCCAGGGGATGGCTGTGGCTGGTGCCCTACCCCAGAGGCCTCTTGGTTGGGCTGAGAGACCAGCCCCATTGTGACCTTATATAGCTGATGGGAGAGGAGCGAGTGAGTCACCCCCTCTCTACCCCCCCACTCCCATGCAGGCTGTGCATTTCTGAGAAGCCCAGTCAGAAGTTGGTGGGGGGTGAGGAGACAGGCAGGGTAGGGGGGGAGATATAAACATAGACCGAGAGCAAATAAAATAAGTCATTTTCAGAGTAGAAAATAAAGTACAGAGGTTATTATTCCAAAAGAGGATATGAGAAGAAAACAAAAATGGGTTCCCAGAAATGTGGGTAAATCTGTCAGTTACAGAAACCTAAGCGGTCCCTTCTGAGAACTTGGGATATAAGCAGTCTGGCTGCTGTCACTAGATTCTACCAGCAGTTCCACAGACATGAACTGGGGGTCAAATGTGTACAGGCTGGACCACCCGCAGATCGTTTCCCCAGCATTGGTCCTCTGATGGCACCTCATGTGAGGTCTGAACAAACCCTAACCTCTTGCATTGTACCAACTTCTAAGCTCCTTTCTTTTTTCTTTTCTTTTCTTTTTTTTTTCTGAGACAGTCTCGCTGTCTCCCAGCCTGGAGTTCAATGGTGAGATTTCGGCTCACTGCAACCTCCACCTCCCGGGTTCAAGTGATTCTCCAGCCTCAGCCTCCTGAGTAGCTGGAATTACAGGCGCACGCCACCATACCCGGCTAATTTTAGTATTTTTAGTAGAGACGGGGTTTCACCATGTTAGCCAGGCTGGTCTCGAACTCCTGACCTCAAGTGATCCACCTGTCTTGGCCTCCCAAAGTGCTGGGATTACAGGGGTGAGCCACCTTACCCGGCCCCAAGCTCCTTTCAACAGCAGACATGAGTATAATATATTAGTAAATTATCTAGTAAGTTAGAAGGTGGTAAGTGATTATGGAAAAAAAAATAGAACAGTGGAACTTAGAGGGTCAGGAGGTAGGGGGAGTGAATATGGAGACTTCAAAATAGGGTGATCAGGAGGGTCAGAGCCATGGGGATATTTTGGGGGAGTGTTCCAGGCAGAAGGAATAGCTAGTACTGTTCTGGTCCTGAGGTAGGAGTGCGTGGAGGGAACCAAGGCCAGTGTGGCTGGAGTGGAGGAAGAGGCCAGAGAGGCAAGGGGAGGGTGGCATACTGGGAGCACCCTGTAGGCTTTGGTCAGGCTCTGGGCACCTTGGGGGCAATCAAGTAGACTTTTTTTTTTTTTTTTTTTTGAGACAGAGTCTTGCTCTGTTGCCCAAGCCGTAGAGCAGTGGCGCGACCTCGGCTCACTGCAACCTCCGCCTCCCGGGTTCAAGCAATTCTCCTGCCTCGTCCTCTCGAGTAGCTGGGACTACAGGTGCACGCCACCATGCCCAGCTAATTTTTTTGTATTTTTAGTAGAGACAGGTTTCACCATGTTGGCCAGGATGGTCTCAATCTCTTGACCTTGTGATCCGCCCGCCTCGGCCTCCCAAAGTTCTGGGATTATAGGCATGAACCACCGCGCCCAGCCTGGAGTAGACTTTTTGCTCCAAGTGAGATGGGGAGACACTGCAGGGTTCAGAGCCAACAAGGAGTAACATATACAGTTCCTGAGTTCTACCTTCCCATGGGGACCCAGGTGTCATATCTGGTTTTCTTTTTTTTTCTTTTTTAGAGACAGTGTCACTCTATTGCCCAGGCTGGTCTCGAACTCCTGGGCTCAAGAAATCCTCCCGCCTCAACCTCCCAAAGTGCTGGGGCTACAGGTGTGAGCCACCATGCCTGACTGGTGTCATATTGATGCAGCTCTTAACAACCACCTGCCCAGCCACCCTTCTGGCTTCTCTCTTTTCATACCTCAGTTCATTAGGGGACTCAGGGATGTACGGCTGACCCCAAGTCTTCCCAAACAGATGCCAGGGAAGGCCTGAGTAGATCATTTGGACCTTTCCAAGTAGTTCATATGGAATCCTCCTGCTGTCTCCCTAATCCCTTTGGCTCCTAGACTTAATCCCACCCTGCCCCTTCCCCCTGAGCTTCTTAATAGGGCAAAGGGGAAGGGTAGAAAGGCAGTGAGAACAGCTGGGACTCGCCTGCTCTTGGGACAGTGTGATTACCAAGGGTTTTCTGTGCCCTGTCTGGTATTTTGTCTCTGTGCCTGTCCCTTTGGGCACACTGTGGACCCCCACCCCAGGTTTGTGTGGACTTTCCTTTCTGCCCTTGTCATCTCCCCCAGCCTTCAGGGTGTCAGCGGCTCATCTTTCCCCTGTGTGTTGCTGGAGTCTCTTGGTTCCTCTCGGCCTTTCTGTTCATCTCCCATCTCTTCCTAGGCCCTAGACTCCCTTTGCTATGGATAGGAGAGGAATGAGGAGAGTAGGAGGGAACAGGTGCCCAGGGTCCTGGGTTTTGCATAGGACAGCAAGGGGCTGTGGGTATGAAAACCTTGCTTTTGTCTGAGACTCGCTCCCCAGCCAGTTCTTTCCCCACTGGCCAGTCTGCTGGGCTCCTCTGGGAAGTTCACTCGATTGCCCCCAAGGTGCCCAAAGACTCGGTTCTGATCACAAGACTTATCGCCATGTATTTTAATTTCTTTTTACCCCTCTGCCTCCCACACTCGAAATAGCAGGGACCTTGGTCTTATATTATTCACTTCTGCCTCCCAAGCCCCTGCCAACGTACAGGGCAAAGTCTGATGTTTTGAAATGATATGATCGAAGAGGGAAACTCTAGAATTGGAGAGCCAGTATGGAAAGGAAAACTGGATCCCAGAGTGGATGGGGAGAGTGAGTGGGGCACCTGAGTCCAGCCCCCACCCCCACGTTCCGCCAGTCCCACCTGCTCCCTTGCAGACTCCGCCCCCCCCGCCCCCGCTTTCTCTCCCTCAACCCCCGCGGGCTTCTCCCCTGCTGACCTTGCCTCCTGCCCCCTTTTTCTCCCTCCTTCAGCTTAAGATCTCCTTCAGCGAGACAGCCCTGGAGACCACGTACCAATACCCCTCCGAGAGTTCGGTACTGGAGGAGCTGGGCCCGGAGCCTGAGGTCCCCAGTGCCCCCAACCCTCCAGCAGCCCAACCCGACGACGAAGAGGATGAGGAAGAGCTGCTGCTGCTGCAGCCAGAGCTCCAGGGCGGGCTGCGCACCAAGGCCCTGATTGTGGGTAAGCGGAGGCTCCGCCGGCCCGAGGGCGCCCCCTGCTGTCAGAGCGGGCGCTGTGGTCCAGGAGAGAGGAGGGAGGATTACATGTAGGCACTCGGAAGGGGCTTGGCGGGTCCTCTGGTTCAACATGCTCCTTTAACAGATGGGCAAACTGAGGTCCCCGGCAGTGAAGTACACATTGAGTCTTCAGGTTTCAAAACGAGAACTCTTCCTGAGTGCTGTAATCTGGTCAAAATCACAGGGTGGGTCGACAGGCCTGAGTTGGAATTCCAGCTTGTCTCTTTAATTGTGTGATCTCAGGGAAACCATCTGATCTCTTGCTTTAGTTTATTATTTATGAAATGAAGTTAATAATAACTACCTCCTGTGGCTCATGCCTGTAATCCCAGCACTTCGGGAAGCCAAGACGGGTGGATCGCTTGAGCCCAGGAGTTCAAGACCACCCTGGGCAACATGGCAAAATCCTGTCTCTACAAAAAAATTGAAAAATTATCCAGGTGTGGGCCGGGCACGGTGGCTCACGCCTGTGATCCCAGCACTTTGGGAGGCCGAGGCGGGCGGATCACGAAGTCAGGAGATCGAGACCATCCTGGCTAACACGGTGAAACCCCATCTCTACTAAAAATACAAAAAAAAATTAGCTGGGCGTGGTGGCGGGCACCTGTAGTCCCAACTACTTGGGAGGCTGAGGCAGGAGAATGGCGTGAACCTGGGAGGCGGAGCTTGCAGTGAGCCGAGGTCGTGCCACTGCACTCCAGCCTTGACAACAGAGTGAGACTCCGTCTCAAAAAAAAAAAAAAAAATTAGCCAGGTGTGGCAGTGCGCAGCTGTGGTTCCAGGTACTTGGAAGGCTGAGGTGGGAGCATCGTTTGACCTCAGGAGTTGGAGGCTGCAGTGAACCAATATTGCACCACCCACTGCACTCCAGCCTGGGCAACAAAGGAAGACCTGTCTCAAAAGAAACAAACAGGCCAGGCACGGTGGCTCACGCCTGTAATCTCAGCACTTTGGGAGGCCGAGGCAGGTGGATCACTCAAGGTCAGAAGTTCAAGACCAGCCTGGCCAACATAGTGAAAACCCATCTCTACTAAAAATACAAAAATTAGCTAGGCATGGAGGTGGACACCTGTAATCCCTGCTACTCGGGAGTCTGAGGCAGGAGAATCACTTGAACCCGGGAAGCAGAGGTTGCAGTGAGCCGAGATGACGCCACTACACTCCAGCCTGGGTGACAGAGTGAAATTCTGTCTCAAAAAAACAGAAACCAAAAACTACCTCCTAGACTTGTAGAAAATATTAAGTAATTTTATTTATTTATTTATTTATTTATTTTGAGACAGCGTCTCCCTCTGTCGCCTGGACTGGAATGCAGTGGCACAACCTTGGCTCACTGCAACCTCTGCCTCCCAAATTCAAGCGATTCTTGTGCCTCAGCCTCTCTAGTAGCTGGGATTACAGATGTGTACCATCACACCTGGCTAGTTTTTATATTTTTAGTAGAGACAGGGTTTCCCCATGTTGGTCAGGCTGGTCTTGAACTCCTGACCTCAAGTGATCCTCCTGCCTCAGCCTCCCAAATTGCTTGGATTACAGGTGCTCCAGGCCAAGATTAAGTAATTTTTTGTGAAGCACCAAGAGCCACAGCTGGATATCATATTACTTAATCTCTCCTGGAGTTATGGTGAGATTAAACAGTTATAAGGATGCCTGGCACAGAGTCCGAGCTAAATGAGTGATGGATGTGGTTACTGGTGGTAACATGCTTTAGATATGGAAGATATTATAGGACTTCCTGCATGCCAACTGCCCTTCAATTTGTGTGGGGGGGAAGGGTGGGCAGAAGGCAGAGGCTCTCACTCATTCTCTAACATTATTGCCCCCTCTCCCACAGATGAGTCCTGCCGGCGGTGACCATCTTCCAACATAGGGATATACCTCCCTCCTTCTTATAACTGAAGATCCTGGAGCCCGGAAGATTCAGGGCAGACAGACCCTGATAATGAGCCTGGCAGGGAAGGGCAACCAACATCTTGTAACTTGCTTTCCCCACCCTGTTTCTGGGGGCAGAGCCAATTGCCCAATTTCTACCCTAATCCAAAGTCCCTGGTGTGGGTGGGGTTAAACGTGCTGGTGCATCCTAGGTCATCCAAGAGTGAGCGCCAAGTCCTGAGAAGGGGCACAGAACTCCCTGGAGGGTGGAGATGGAGCACCTGCCCCCCATGGCAGGGTACACTCTCCCCACAGCCTTCCTCCCCACCATCCCGTGGGGACTCTCGGGATTTAAGCACTCGTCTCTCTGGGAGGCCCAGACCCCACTCCATTTATAGGCACATCTCCTTCATTTCCTAGGTCACTGCCCCTTTGTTTACAGCTCCTGCCTCCTCCCTTGACCACAGCCTGGTTTACAAATTCCATCAGCTCCCAGCCCCACCTGCCAAAGTCCCAGGTTTACAAGCCACGCTTACTTGCTGTGTCTGCGTGGAATTCTCTCCTCTGTCCCCTCCAGTCTCCTCATTGGAGTGACCTGAAGGTGTGGCTTCCTCCACTTTTTCTCAGTATTACTTTGCCTTAGTTTTCCCCAAGAGGGAAGGCTGGAACTCTTAACTCTGTACCCCTTGATAGTTATTTAATTCTGTTTCTCCTAGTGGTTCACAATTGAACTGAATTGAGATGGTGTCGGGTGGCTAAGGAGACACCTCACCTCTCCTTCCCCATTGTGCCGCCTTTATCAATTGCCTGTTTTGTTTTGTTTGTTTTTTAACTTTCCATAATAAAATGGAGTTCTCTTCAACTCGTCTGCTTCTCCTTCTTTGGGAAAAAAAAAGGGTATGTGAGGGGAGGCTCTGGTGGCTGGGGGAGAGGAAAATGATGGGGGATGAACCAGGAACTCGGCACTGACATGTCAAAAGGGGTCTGGGAAGCTGCACGTGGGTTTCACGCAGGACAAGCAGGTGACATGAGAAAGGGCAGTTGAAGTGTCCACTAGACTGGAAGTGCCATGAGGGCTGACTACATCAGCTGGATTCACTGCAATATCCTGTACCTGTCAACTAGTAGACACGGAATTATTTCTAGAATGAATGACAACAAATGAATGAATAGAAGAAAAGGGTTAAAATATTACAGAGGACACTTTGAGTTGAAGGGTTCTAGTATTCAGAAGCCTGCTGCCATGAAGGCAGCTAGGTAGTGTATGACACAACCCATGTGGCTAATCCAGGGATACTTACTTAAAGAGCTGGGGCTACGAATACTAAATCTGAAATTGCTGCAAAATGAAGTAAGTATGTACAAGAGTCAGTTTCCTGGAAAAGGTTCCCCTCTGATAGACAATGGATTTTATATCGTTAAAGGCCTAAAGGCCGGGCACGGTGGCTCACGCCTGTGATCCCAGCACTTTGGGAGGCCGAGGCAGGCGGATCATAAGGTCAGGAGATTGAGACCATCCTGGCTAACACGGTGAAACCCCGTCTCTACTAAAAATACAAAAAATTAGCGGGGCATAGTGGTGGGCACCTGTAGTCCCAGCTACTCGGGAGGCTGAGGCAGGAGAATGGCATGAACCCGGGAGGTGGAGCTTGCAGTGAGCTGAGATTGCGCCATTACACTCCAGCCTGGGCAGCAGAGTGAGACTCCATCTCAAAAAAAAAAAAAAAGGTTTAAAAACCATCTTGATAGTGCATGGCTTTGGTGCCCATGTAGTTGATATTTGGAATTTTCCCATTTCAAAGAATATCTTATACAAATGTGGAACATCAATATTTTACTCATCAGGAAAATTTGTTTGTTTGTTGTTAGCTCTCCAGGCTAACAAAGATATGGTTGAATAGTTATAGTCCTTCTACCACTACAAGTTGCTCCTCTCAGACTGGTCAGAGGAGGCCCCACACCTTTACTATAAAACAAAATATATGAGACAAATTGAACTTAAGCATACGCCAAAGGTTTTCAATTTACTAGCAAGAGAACAAGCCAGGTGTCAAAAGACTCAGCCAGTTCAGAGAAGGTCTGGGTAGGGAAGGAAACAGAATGATTATATTAGTAGCCTGTTAGGTAAAGGTCTTAAAAAGTTTCCAGTTGTGACCCAGGAAAACAGAGTTAGGAAGCTCCGAGGTGCCAGGGGTGCTCACAGTCCATCTCAGAAACAGAAAACAATGCATTCAAGAGGTCAGGCCAGGTGTGGTGGCTCATGCCTGTAATCCTAACACTTTGGGATGCCAAGGCGGGTGGACTGCCTCATCTGAGGAGTTTGAGACCAGCCTGGGCAACATGATGAAACCCCGTCTCTACTAAAATACAAAAAATTAGCTGGACGTGGTGGCACGCACCTGTAGTCCCGCCTACTCAGGAGGCTGAGGCAGGAGAATTGCTTGAACCCAGGAGGTGGAGGCTGCAGTGAGCCAAGATCACGCCACTGCATTCCAGCCTGGGCGACAGAGTGAGACTCCGAGACTCCCTTTCCAAAAAAAAAAAAAAAAAAGTCAGTGATGTAGATCCACTTGTGGCTATTAATAAGAACAATGTTTCATTTCCTAACAGTAGTGCCTGGTAACTGCAATTAATCACAAAAGTATGATGCAGGATCAAACAAATCAGACAGCAGAGCATCGAGTAACAAATTCAGCTTTTTGTTTTGTTTGTTTTTTTTTTTTGAGCATAGTCTTGGTCTGTTGCCTAGGTTGGAGTGCCTGACCTCGGCTCACTGCAACCTCTGGCTCCTGGGCTCAAGAGATTCTCCTGTCTCAGGCCCAGTGCGGTGGCTCACGCCTGTAATCCCAGCACTTTGGGAGGCCGAGACGGGCGGATCATGAGGTCAGGAGTTTGAGACCAGCCTGACCAACATGGTAAAACCCCATCTGTATTAAAAATACAAAAACTAGCTGGGCGTGATGGCATGTGCTTGTCACACTTGTAATTCCAGCTACTCAGGAGGCTGAGGCAGGAGAATCACTTGAACCTGGGAGGCGGAAGTTGCAGTGAGCCGAGATCGTGCCATTGCACTCCAGTCTGGGCAACAGAGCGAGACTCTGTCTCCAAAAAAAAAAAAAAAAATTCTCCTGTCTCAGTCTCCAGAGTAGCTGGGACTACAGGTGCACACCTCCACACCTGGCTAATTTTTTGTAGAGATGGTGGGGTCTCACCCTGTTGCCCAGGCTGGTCTCAAACCCCTGGTCTCAAGATATCCTCCTGCCTCAGCCTCCCAAAGTGCTGGGATTACAGCAAGAGCCACTGCACCTGGCCTTGCTTACTTTTAAATAAGCAGCCACCAGTGATTTTCTCAAGCTGTTAAGCAAAAATGCAGAACACAGTTTGCCTGTTCCTTAGTTTGGAGATTTTGTCTTTAACAACTTTCCCCAGTTCCCCAGTTTCTTCCTGCCTAGAGGTCTTCCCTTATACCTGACCTGTCTTCACTCCTGCTGCAGGCAAACCAGTCCTAGCAACGGTCACTTTTTTGTTTGTTTGAGACAGAGACTTCCTCTGTTGCTCAGGCTGGAGTGCCGTGGTGGGATCTCGGCTCACTGCAAACTCTGCTTCCCATGTTCAAATGATTCTCCTGCCTCAGCCTCCCGAGTGGCTGGGACTACAGGCGCACACCACCACGCCAGGCTAATTTTTATATTTTTAGTAGAGACAGGGTTTCGCCATCTTGGCCAGGCTGGTCTCGAACTCCTGACCTCAGATAATCCGCCCGCCTTGGCCTCCCAAAGTGCTGGGATTACAGGCATGAGCCACCGCGCCCGGCCAACAATGCTAATATGTTTTATGAGCATGGACCCGATCTTCCAATCTGAAATAGAATTTCATTCCTCCCTTACTTTGTATAGTTTTTGGCTCTATAAAATTTCCATACTTTCTTTATTATGTATCCTGTCCCTCCCCCACCGCAAAATGTAAATTTGGTAAGGAACTTTTGATTTGTCCTCTGCTATATCCCAGGGACGGAAAGCAATGAGCACACATTAGGCATCCATTAAATTAATTTCACTTGTTGAATGAATGCGTGAGCGAAGCACTCACAGACTGACCATCAGGGGGCGTCAGAGAAACTGGACAGAGGCGAAATGAAGAAAAAAGAATTACCCCGAGTTTTCAGGTATGGTTCCGCGAGGTTTGAACTCGCTCGGCCACCGTAGTGCTTAGAGGCCGAAAAAGTACAGCCCCTTCCGGGCTCCGCGGTACGGGAAGACAGCTTTGGGATGTCGGAAGATCCTAGAGGTCCCAAGGTAGCTGACTTGCGAAGCTGAGGCTCCAGCCGAGGGCTCCAGGCCTCTGACCGGCCCAGCAGTGAGCGCGGCTGCCCGACGCTTCAGGGCCGGGAGCAGGGAGCGTGAGTCGCCATGGCGACGCCGGCGGGTCTGGAGCGCTGGGTTCAGGACGAGCTGCACTCGGTGTTGGGGCTGAGCGAGCGGCACGTCGCCCAGTTTCTGATCGGTACCGCACAGCGCTGCACCTCTGCCGAGGAGTTCGTGCAGCGCCTACGAGACACTGATACCTTGGATCTCAGTGGGCCGGCCCGGGACTTCGCCCTGAGACTCTGGAACAAGGTGTCGGCAGGGGTGGGGAGGGGCCCTGTGATTTGTCCCGGTGAGGCTGGCCTAACGGTCCATCGAGAAGTTAAGAAAGCTCAGTTCACAAGCACTTATTCTTTGTCCGTTGTCGCGTAGGTACTGTGCTAGCTGCTGGACGCCCAGCTCAGTGGAGAAGATTGAGGAGGGCTTAGGTGTGTCGGGTTAAGCGCAATAGAACGGTGTTTCTCGAACTCTTAACATGCATCCAAGGTTCTTGTTAAAATGCAGATTGCGATTCAGTAGGGATCTTAGTTTCTGCATTTCTTTCTTTCTTTTTTTTTTTTTTGAGAGACACAGTCTCGCTCGCCCCGTCGCCCAGGCTGGAGTGCGGTCGTAAGATCACGGCTCACTACAGCGTCGACCTCCCTGGTTGAAGCGACCCTCCCACCTCATCTTCCCCGGTAGCTGGGACTACGGGCGCGCGCCACCACCCCCGGCTAATATCTTTTATTTTTATTTTTATTTTTAGAGATGAGGCCTTGGTGTGTTGCGCAGGCTGGTCTCTAACTCCTCAGCTCAAGCAATCCTCTCTCAGCCCCCTCAGAGTGCTGAGATTACAGGCGTGAGCCACCATGCCCGGCCCCCCTCATCTTCTGAACTTCCTTTCAGTCGTTTAATTAACAGAGGGGGCCGGGTGCAGTGGCTCACACCTGTAATCCCAGCACCCCGGGAGGCTGAGGCAGGAGGATTACTTGAGCCCAGGAGTTCGAGACCAGCCTGGGCAACATGGCGAAACCTTCGTCCTACAAAAAAATTAAAAATTAGTTGAGCGTGGTAGTGTGCACCTGTGTTTCTAGCTACTTAGGAGCCTGAGGTGGGAGGATCCCTTGAGCCCAAGAGGGACAGAGTGAAACCCTGTCTGTAAAAAAAAATAAAAAACCCCATTCAGGATGATGAAGATGGGGTGAAGCCATGAGGAAGAAAGAGAATGAATGCTGGTTAGCTGGTTTAAAACTAAGTAATTGTGCCCGGGTGCGGTGGCTCATGCCTGTAATCCCAGCACTTTGGGAGGCTGAGGTGAGTGGATCATGAGGTCAGGAGTTTGAGACCAGCCTGGCCAACATGGTGAAACCTCATCTCTACTAAAAATACAAAAATAGTCGGGCGTGGTGGCATGTGCCTGTAATCTCAGCTACTTGGGAGGCTGAGGCAGGAGAATTGCTTGAACCTGGGAGGCGGAGGTTGAAGTGAGCCGAGATCACGCCATTGCCTGACAGTGGGGCCGGGCCGCGGGGGCAGGAAAGACTAAGTAATTGCTTAAATTAGGAACAGAGCTAAGTGGGAGGGCAGAGATCAGGAGTTGCTCAGACCTCCTTATCTTCCCCTCTACTGACAGGTACCACGAAAGGCAGTGGTAGAAAAGCCAGCTCGGGCAGCAGAGCGAGAGGCCCGGGCCCTGCTGGAGAAGAACCGATCTTATAGGTTACTGGAAGACAGTGAAGAGAGCAGTGAGGAGACTGTGAGTAGGGCTGGAAGCAGCCTCCAGAAGAAACGTAAAAAGCGGAAACACCTCAGGAAGAAGCGTGAGGAAGAAGAGGAGGAAGAGGCTTCTGAGAAAGGGAAGAAGAAAACAGGGTAAGTCAGAAGCAGGGTGAGAGAGGATGGGGCAGGCTGAAGTGTTCTCTATGCCCTTATTTAATCCCCTGGATGGGCTGCAGGGGGAGTAAACAGCAGACAGAGAAGCCAGAGTCGGAAGATGAGTGGGAACGGACAGAGCGTGAACGCCTTCAGGACCTGGAGGAGCGTGATGCCTTTGCTGAGCGGGTTCGACAGCGGGACAAGGATCGGACTCGAAATGTCCTGGAACGGTCAGACAAGAAGGTGAATAGGAGCAGCATGTTCTGTAAATCCCCAAGATCCCAGGGTGAAATCTGAGGTTGGCTGTGAGTGCAGAGATAGTGATCTCTGGGAAGACAAGGGGCTGTCTCTAGTGAGATGTTCACCTCTGTGGTGAGAGAAGCCCTGTGCATCCTGTGGCTAAGACAACTGTCTGCTGTACCTGCAATCAGAGAGATTCCTCACTGAGAGGGGACATTTTTTGTGTTAGGGCGCATCTGAATGATCCTTGTGATTCTAGAGGGGAGCAGCTGTCAGTGTGGGGGCTCTTTGGCCTCACACCCCTCCATTCTTGTTTTTTCTTCTAGGCTTATGAAGAGGCTCAGAAGCGCCTCAAGATGGCCGAGGAAGACCGGAAGGCCATGGTGAGTCCCAGGGCCTAGGGAGCCAAGATCAGAAGACAAAAGGAAAGACTTTCTGATAGAGTGTATAGGGAGAGAGGATACAGAGGAAGCACAGTGTGGATGCTGATGGGGTGGTCAGGTTTCTAGAAGAGGGGCTTGGTTGTTAGGAGCCAGCTGAGGATAGACTTATGTTGTTGAGGGAAGGATCCTTCTTAAGTTGTAGGGGGAAGGAGGCTACCCATAAGTCCTCCTTGACTCTTAACTTTAGGATCAAATATACTCTATTAGTGAATGAAATTGTGAGCTTTCCCTATTCCTGAGTCCTAATGAGATATGAGGCAGCTGGAATGTTGTCAAGAAGGTTGCTGGAGGGCAAGGGCAGGGCAGCAGTCCCACTGTACAGGGATGTGCTGACCATTCAGCTTAGGCACACCATCTCCAAATACCTTCCCACCACCTAATTCCTGCACCCCTTATGTGGCTTTGTGATCTCCCTGTGTCTTCTCACTGGACAGGGACAGAGCCCTTGTAATTCATAAACTGGACTTTTTATGGTGTGAAACTAGGTAGGGTAAGCTGTTTTCCAAAGGCCTGGTCTTGTCAAGTAAAGTCACACTTAGATTCCCCAATACCCCAATAGAATTTTGAGACTCTTGAAGTTCCTTTTTTTTTTTTTTTTTTTTTTTAAACCTTTTTTCTTTTTTTTGAAACGGGGTCTTGCCCTGTCACCGAGGCTGGAGTGCAATGATGCGATCTCGGCTCACTGCAACCTCCGCCTCCTGAGTAGCTGGGATTACAGGCGCACACCACCACGCCTGGCTAATTTTTTGTACCTTTAGTAGAGACGGGGTTTCACCATGTTGGCCAGGGTGGTCTCGAACCCCTGACCTTGTGATCCACCTGCTTTGGCCTCCCAGAGAGCTGGAATTACAGGCGTGAGCCACCATGCCCAGCCTTCTTTTTATTTGTTTTGTTTTATTTTTTATTTTTATTTATTTATTTTTGAGATGGAGTCTCACTCTGTTGCCAGGCTGGAGTGTGGTGGTGCGATCTCAGCTCACTACAACCTGTGCCTCCCTGGTGGAGGAATCAAGCGATTCTCCTGCCTCAGCCTCCTGAGTAGCTGGGACTACAGGCCTGCAGTACCACACTCGGCTAATTTTTTGTATTTTTAGTAGAGGAGATTTCATCATGTTGGCCAGGATGGTCTTGATCTCTTGACCTTGTGATCTGCCCGCCTTGGCCTCCCAAAGTGTTGGGATTATAGGCATGAGCCACTACGCCTGGCCGTTTTTACTTTTTAAAATTCATTTATTTATTTTTTTGAAACAGAGTTTTGCACTTGTTGCTCAGGCTGAAGTGCAGTGGCGTGATCTTGGCTCACTGCAACTTCCACCTCCCGAGTTCAAGCGATTCTCCTGCCTCAGCCTCCAGAGTAGCTGGGATTACAGGCATGAGCCACCTCGCCTGGCTAATTTTGTATTTTTAGTAGAGATGGGGTTTCTCCATGTTGGTCAGGCTGGTCTTGAACTCCTGACCTCAGGTGATCCACCTGCCTCGGCCTCCCAAAGTGCTGGGATTATAGGCGTGAGTCACCACGTGCCCGGCCAACTTTTGGAGTTCTAAGAATGGCCTACTGGTTCCCAGGTCTCTCCTGACCAATTTATCTCATATCTCTTCCTGAAATTGACTGTGGTTAGGCTTCTGGGACATCTCAGTGCAGTTGTGGTGGTAGTGGTGTTACTGTTTTGGCCTGAATTTAATTTTTCGGGTTTTTTTTGAGACAGAATCTCATTCTGTCGCCCAGGCTGGAGTGCAGTGGCATGATCTCGGCTCACTGCAACCTCCGCCTCCCGGGTTCAAGTGATTCTCCTGCCTCAACCTCCCGAGCAGCTGGGACTACAGACATGCACTAGCATGCCTGGCTGATTTTTGTATGTTTAGTAGAGATAGGGTTTCACCATGTTGGCCAGTCTGATCTCAAACTCCTGACCTTTGGCGATCCACCCCCCTCGGTCTCCCAAAATGTTAAGATTACAGGCGTGAGCCACTGTGCCCAGCTGTAATTTTTCTTTTTCGATTACAAAAATATTTAAGCACATAGGGAAGTTGAAAGAATAGAACAAAGAACACTCATAGACACTATTCAGATTGAAAAATGGTTAATACTATGGGTAGTATTTGCATTGTAATTGTAAATGTGGTATGTTTTTTCTTTTCAGACCATTTAAAAGAGTCTTAGACATCATGGCGTTTTATCTCTAAGTACATCAGTGTGTACCTGCTAAGGATAAAGATATTGTCCTCTAAAATCAGAATGCTCTTGTCACAGTCAGGAAGTTGAACAGTAATTCTTATGTATCGACTAAGATCTCTCTACAATAAAAGATACCCTCATTACCCTCAAAATAACTTTAATGACTGCTTTTTCCTAACAAGAATGCAGTCAAGGTTCATGCATTGCATTTGGGTCTTAGATGTTAAGTTTGTTTCTCTCTCTGTCTGTCTCACCTTGCAGTGTCCTACATTCTGGATTTGCCTGATTCTTATCTTGTGGTGTTAAGTACTTCTCTGCCCTGTGCTTTCTTTGAAGCAGGAATTGGGTCTAAAGCTTATTGACACTCAGATTAAACAGTTGTGGCAGGAACACTTCTTGGGCGGTGATGTGCACTTCATATTATGTCATATCACGGGGACATACTATCCAGTTGTGTATCTATATATTAGTATTAATATCCTTTCTACCAATAGCCTTTCATCAAATGCTTTTAGAAGCCACTGGTAATCCTTTCCTGAACATGTTATTTTTATTGGGGATTGCAAAATGGTGATTTTTTTTTTTTTTTTTGAGACAGAGTCTCGCTCTGTCGCCCAGGCTGGAGTGCAACGGTGCGATCTCGGCTCACTGCAAGCTCTGCCTTCCGGGTTCATGCCATTCTCCTGCCTCAGCCTCCTGAGCAGCTAGAACTACAGGCGCCTGCTGCCACGCCCGGCTAATTTTTTGTATTTTTAGTAGAGATGGGGTCTCACCATGTTAGCCAGGATGGTCTCGATCTCCTGACTTCGTGATCCTCTTGCCTCAGCCTCCCAAAGTGCTGGGATTACAGGCGTGAGCCACCGCGCCCGGCCGAAATGGTGATTTTTTGATTCTGTCATTCCTGTTACGTGTATTGGCTAGAATTTGTCTATAAAGAAGAGCTTTTCCTCAACAACTAGGAACAAGCTACAGTTCCTTCTTAAAAAGGGTAAATGTTTGTTTCCTTTTAAATACGAATTTTTAGAGTAAGGCGTTTGCTGTAACAGTCATTTCACTGGTGACAGATTTTTTTCCCTTGTTTTTTGTTTGTGTGTGTCAAATTGGACTCATGAATTTTTATTTTTCAGTATTTTATAATCTCACATCATTATTCTTTTTAATGCTCAAATGGCTCTGATTTTTTGCCCATATTAAAAAAAAAATCTATCTGGCTCTTCCATGGAAGGAATATTTGACTGTGGTACCCAGATTAGGTCATGATCATAAACTGCATTTTAAGTCTTTACAGAACAAACAAGAAAAGCCAAACAACTAAATAGAACCAGGCCCCTTAAGGGTAGAACAGCAGAGGGGCTTTTTTTTTAAAGATGCAGTTTTGTTCTTGTTGCTCAGGCTGGAGTGCAATGGCGTGAGCTAAGCTCACTGCAACCTCCGTCTCCCGGGTTCAAATGATTCTCCTGCCTCAGCCTCCCGAGTAGCTGGGATTACAGGTGCCCACTACCATGCCCAGCTAATTTTTGTATTTTCAGTAGAGACGGGATTTCACCATGTTGGCCAGGCTGGTCTCTAACTCCTGACCTTAGGTGATCCACCCACCTCAGCCTTTCAAAGTGCTGGGATTACAGGTGTGAGTCACCACGCCCACCCAGCCACCAGAGGGGCTTTGACCTTGCAGTAGAGGAAGTTGTGATCACAGAGAGGATGATGTCATAGTGGGAGGACTCCTGGCAGGAAAGGGCCTTATAGATATTGCCAGTTTTCTGCTGTCATCCATAATGTGTCCTGAAAAGTTTGTATCAAAGGTAAATGTGTAGAAACTAAGTGAGACACAGCATGGTGAAGAGAGGTTAGTACCAGAAAGCCAAACATCCCTGATTACATTTGCCTTACAGAAACACTCTGATGCTGTAGTCCTAACTTTTTATAATCAGTTTTTCTCCCTTCCTCAAACTACAGTCATTCCGTTTAAGACCAAAGAACATCTAACTGGGGCTGAAGATTGCCTCCTGTTGGCCCCCTCACTGGTTTCTATCTTTGTCTGAATTGTTTTCGGTTTGAGTCCTGTGCTTCTAAATGCTGGATTAGCCTTTTATTTTCCCCCTTTCCACTAATTTGAATAAAATGGCAAGAGTAAAATATAAGCTACGCAGACATCTCCCTAGTGCATCTATATTAACAAAGATGATAATGCTGCCTAAGAGGACTTTCCAGCTGGATTCTGCTGCAGGAAGATACGATGTGGGGTCAGCATGTAGCATCCAAAGAGGCCCAGATTTGAGTATGTCATTGTTTTGGTTGTGCATTGCAGAGGGAAGGTAGAGGGTGCATCCTGAGGTTCTCATGCCTGCCTGTCAGGGGATTTTTCCCTTGTAGGGATTGGTAGAGAAAGGGGTTGCTCCTCCAGCAAGATGAGGATTCGACTGTCCTTTCCCAACTCAGGTCCCTGAGCTGCGGAAGAAATCTCGCCGAGAGTACCTGGCTAAGCGGGAGCGAGAGAAGCTTGAGGACCTGGAGGCGGAGCTGGCTGATGAGGAGTTCCTTTTTGGGGACGTGGAGCTGAGCCGGCACGAGCGGCAGGAGCTCAAATATAAGCGGCGAGTGCGGGATCTCGCCCGGGAGTACCGGGCAGCTGGGGAGCAGGAGAAGCTGGAGGCCACCAATCGCTACCACATGCCCAAGGAAACCCGAGGACAGGTGAGGTGAAGCGGCGTCTGCTTCAGCCTTGGTCCCCAAGACAAGTTGTGGGGAAGGCTTCAGGGGATTGGGCAACACGTGGGTCATCCCCTTTCTTGCCTTGCCGTTCCCAATGGGCAGTGGGCGGGGGTAGTAATGGGAAGAGGGGAGAGGGCAGAGAGGACATCCTGTTTTTGAGTCTTCACATATCCCCTCTCTCTGTAGCCAGCCCGAGCTGTGGATCTAGTGGAGGAGGAATCAGGAGCCCCTGGGGAGGAGCAGCGGCGCTGGGAGGAGGCGCGGCTTGGGGCAGCGTCCCTGAAGTTTGGGGCCCGAGATGCTGCCTCTCAGGAGCCCAAGTATCAACTGGTGCTGGAGGAGGAGGAGACCATTGAGTTTGTCCGGGCCACTCAGCTCCAGGGTGATGAGGTAAGAGGGGAGCTGGGAGACTTTCTGAGGAAGACCCGTAGCGAGCTATTTAGCTCACACCTCCTTCTCTTTCCTTAGGAGCCGTCAGCTCCACCCACTTCAACTCAGGCCCAGCAGAAAGAGTCCATCCAGGCCGTCCGCCGCAGCCTCCCGGTGTTCCCATTTCGAGAGGAGCTCCTGGCTGCTATTGCAAATCACCAAGTCCTCATCATTGAAGGCGAGACAGGCTCAGGGAAGACCACCCAGATCCCGCAGTATCTCTTTGAGGAGGTACAGTCATCTCACCCTTCAGCTTGCCAGGGCACCTGGCATCAATGTCCTCATTCCTGTCAGAGCTCCTTTTACATTATATTTTTAGTAGTCACTTACCTATCTTTTCCACTAAATTGTGAAATTCTTGAGAGTAAAGACCATACCCTTTTCACATTTCTGTTCTCACTTCCTGCATTCATTTCATTTGGAAGGACGGGTAGATGGATAGGTGGAGTGGGGCGTGTATAAATGTGGACCTCCCTATGCTCCAACGTGGCCAAAAAACAAGGAGTTAAAGGACTATTTTCCTGCCTTTTTGTTAGTTTTTTTTTTTTTTTTTTGGAGACGGAGTCTTGCTCTGTCACCCAGGCTGGAGTGCAGTGGTGCGATCTTGGCTTACTGCAACCTCTGACTCCTGGGTTCAAGGAATTCTCCTGCGTCAGCCTTCAGAGTAGCTGGAATTACAGGCATGCGCCACCACACCTGGCTAATTTTTTAGTAGAGATGGGGTTTCACCATGTTGGCCAGGCTGCTCTCGAACTCCTGACCTCAAGTGATCCAGCCACCTCAGCCTCCCAAAGTGCTGGGATTACAGGTGTGAGCCACTGTGCCTAGCCCCTGCCTTATTTTGGAGACAGGCTCTTGCTCTGATGCCCAAGCTGGAGTGATGTGGCACCATCATGACTCACTGCAACCTGGGACTCCTGGGCTCAAGAGATCATCCCACCTCAGCCTCCTGAGTATCTGGGAGGTGCACACCACCATGCCCATATTAAACATTTTTTGTTTTTTTTTGAGGTGGAGTCTTGCTCTGTCACCAGGCTGGAGTGCAGTGGCGCGATCTTGACTCACTGCAACCTCCACCTCCTGGGTTCAAGTGATTCTCCTGCCTCAGCCTCCTAAGTAGCTGGGACTACAGGTGCGTACCACCACACCCAGCTAATTTTTGTATTTTTAGTAGAGATGGGGTTTCACCATGTTGGCCAGGATGGTCTCAATCTCCTGACCTCGTGATCTGCCCACCTCAGCCTCCCAAAGTGCTGGAGTTACAGGTGTTAGCCACTGTGCCTGGCCTGAAATTTTTTTTTTTTTTTTTTTGAGACAGAGTCTTGCTCTGTTGCCCAGGCTGGAGTGCGGTGGCATGATCTTGGCTTACTGCAACCTCTGTCTCCCAGGTTCAAGCGACTCTCCTGCCTCAGCCTCCCAAGTAGCTGGAAATACAGGCATGCACCACCATGCTCGGCTAATTTTTTGTATTTTTAGTAGACGGGGTTTCACCATTTTGGCCAGGCTGGTCTCGAACTCCCAACCTCAGGAGATCCGTCTGCCTCGGCCTCCCAAAGTGCTGGAATTGCAGGTGTGAGCCACTGTGCCTGGTCAAAATTTTGAATTTTTAATTTTTTTGTCACACTATGTTGCCCAGGCTGGTCTCGAACTCCTGAGCTCAAGCCATCCTCCCACCTCAGCCTCCCAAAGTACTAGGATTACAGGCATGAGCCACTGTGCCCAGCCTTCCTGCTTTTTTACCTTAGCTGGCTCTGTCTCAGCTAATCTGTTCTTTTCCAGCTCAAGTCTAGCAGAGTCATGAACTTAATTACCCAGAGCTGGGTGAGGACCCCCTTTGAGGGCCCTAGGTCTGTCATCCTATCTATTTGCCCTTCTTTTCTGGTTTTCAGCATCTGTCTTTTCCTCCTTTTCTCCTGCCTGGTTTTTACAACTTCTTTCTCTGAAATGTACCTGGTCCCAGGGTGCATATTTAGTAAAGGGCAAACTTCTTCTTTTTTCTTTGTCATTCAGGGTTATACAAACAAGGGTATGAAGATTGCCTGCACCCAACCCCGGAGAGTGGCTGCCATGAGTGTGGCCGCCCGAGTGGCCCGGGAGATGGGTGTGAAGCTTGGGAATGAGGTGAGATTTCTAGGGAACCGGGGGGTAGAGTCTGGGGTCTGTGACTCAGTCTACAGTTCCCTCAGGTCCCTACAGCAGAAGTCTTGGTGCTGCCCCACTTCACCTTTCCCCAAGTTCCTTTCAGGGCACACCAGCCCACACTTGGTTGCTAATGGTTCCCTTGACCAGGTTGGCTACAGCATCCGCTTTGAGGACTGCACATCAGAGCGAACTGTCCTCCGCTACATGACAGATGGGATGCTTCTCCGGGAGTTCCTCTCTGAGCCTGACCTGGCGAGTTACAGGTATCTCTAATCTCTGGCCTTTCTCTCCCTTCTTCCCACCCAGCCAATTCAGCCATTGTCTTCTGATTAATCCACCCGTTCTTGAATCTTTGTGGTTCAAATGGTCCTTGAACTGACCTCCAGGTACCACGGAGATGGGGCTGGAGGACAGAAGAGATTGTAGAGAAAGCCTCTTCTTTCCCCATTCATCTCCAGGGTTTAGAAAACAACCAGGATAGCAGAGCATTGCTGCCGAGACTTGAAATACCGTGTGAAGACCATTTGAAAACACTTGGAATGCTCAGCTCAGAGGGAGAAACAGGAAGCATCCTGGTTCCCTCTAAATATGTGAAGGCTGTTACATGGAAAGAAGGATCAGATTGTTTTATGTGACCCTACACGACATAGCTAGGAGCCATGGGGAGGTTACAGGGAGACAGATTCCAACTCAATACCAATGGCTGAGTAACCCTCAGAGTGGTGGAGATTGCAGGGCCTGTCAGAGTGGTTGGACTCTGGGTCTTGGCCCTCCACACAAGTCTTGGGTAGCTTGGTCTGTGAATAATGAGCTCTTAGTGCTGGAAATGGCCAAGCAGGGGTTGGTTGAACATGTGTTGAGGGGGAAAAGGGATTCATGAATGTAATGGGGGTGGGGTCAGGCCAGCTGAACAATATGTGCCTTTTTGACTCTTCAGAGGCTGTGAATTTCTGGTCTTGGAAGATCACAGTGGAGCAATTGGACAGATAGGATTTTATCCTTCATATCCCTTGCAAAAGATCTCTAAGAACCCATGGAGAGCCAGCCAGCGCAAGAGTGTCTGATGCAGATGTTTTTGCCCATCGAGCCAGCCTGCTTTGTGGAATGGCTGGGGACTTCACCATCACAGTTAGGGTTAGGCACAAAGAGTTGAGGTCAGGGAGGTGGGTAGGGGAAGATGGGGATGAGTTCCTGGGACTTGGCTGCCACCCAGAAAAGCCAAAGAACAAAGAGAAAGAAGGTGTCATGCACATAACTGAGTTAGGAGGAAACCAAGGAGCATGCAGAGTCCTGTGAGAGTTGAGGTAGAAAGGCTTAACTTGCTCCTGTCTCCAAAAGAAGAAACAGTCAAGAATGATGCCAGCAGCAGTTGTCCCACAGGACACCAGGAGCTTCTAGGCTATTTGAATCACAGCAGCTCAGGTCTATTACCCCCAGTCAGCCTTGCTGGCCCACCCTTATTGAAAGGGACCCTGCCTTCCACTTTTTTTTTCCTTTAAAACGTATCAGCCGGGAGCGGTGGCTCACGCCTGTAATCCCAGCACTTTGGGAGGCAGAGGCAGGCGGATCACGAGGTAAGGAGATCAAGACCATCCTGGCTAACACGGTGAAACCCCGTCTCTACTAAAAAATATAAAAAATTAGCTGGGCGTGGTGGCGGGCACCTGTAGTCCCAGCTACTCAGGAGGCTGAGGCAGGAGAATGGCGTGAACGCAACCCAGGAGGCGGAGCTTGCGGTGAGCCGAGATCGTGCCACTGTACTCCAGCCTGGGCGACAGAGTGAGACTCTGTTTCAAAACTCCGTCTCTACTAAAAATACAAAAAATTAGCCAGGCACAGTGGCAGGCACCTGTAGTCCCAGCTACTTGGGAGGCTGAGGCAGGAGAATGGTGTGAACCCAGGAGGCGGAGCTTGCAGTGAGCTGAGATCATGCCACTACACTCCAGCCTGCAACAGAGCAAGACTGTCTCAAAAAAAAAATCCTTCCACTTTTTCTTTTTTCTTTTTTTAGATGGAGTCTCGCTCTGTCACCCAGGCTGGAGTGCAGTGGCACGATCTTGGCTCACTGCAACCTCTGCCTCCCAGGTTCAAGCGATTCTCCTGCCTCAGCCTCCCAAGTAGCTGGGACTACAGGCGTCTACCACCACATCTGGCTAATTTTTTTTGTATTTTTAGAAGAGACGGGGTTTCACTGTATTGGCCAGACTGGTCTCGAACTCCTGACCTTGTGATCCACCTGCCTCGGCCTCCCAAGGTGCTGGGATTACAGGCGTGAGCTACCACCATGCCCAGCCTAAAACATATCCTTCAACTTTTTCTAGTAAGAGCAGCTGCTGAGTCTAAGCAGACTCTTGACTGAACTAGAGGGTATGGCTAACTTGTCCTGGCCTCAGTGTGCAGCCTCTACATCTTGTCTCCTATTATCTGCTGAGGCTGGGATAGGTTGCAGATCATGGGGCCCTGGCCTTCTCTGACTTTCTGTTGCTCTACATAAGTGGGATGGCTGACTTCTCCTTAGAGCCCCCTCCGTCAACAGTCATTCTTGAACTCTTTGTGTCCATTACTCCCCTCTCATCCAGTTAACCCTGGTGTCTGATACTGCATTGCCTAGCGCTCTTCCCTCATTGCTCTCCTATTCCCTCCCCAGCGTGGTGATGGTGGATGAGGCACACGAAAGGACCCTACACACAGACATTCTCTTTGGATTGATCAAGGATGTTGCTCGCTTCCGACCTGAGCTCAAGGTCCTGGTGGCTTCAGCCACAATGGACACTGCCCGTTTTTCCACCTTCTTTGATGACGCCCCTGTGTTTCGAATCCCCGGACGCAGGTTTCCTGTGGACATCTTCTACACCAAGGTGCCCCCTCAGGGAGGATGGGCTTAAGTCTGTGGCAGAAAAGCTGAGGCCTTTGGAGAAGGTTATCCTGTGGAGGGAAAGATGGAATGGAAGGTTCAAAGGGGAACTAGGATAAAGTGTATGTTGAATTGGGAGGAGAGGAAAGGTTTGCCTAAGCAGGTGGCCCTCCTGTGACCCCATCTCTTTCTGCTCTCCAGGCTCCAGAGGCTGACTACTTGGAAGCTTGTGTAGTATCTGTGTTGCAGATCCATGTGACCCAGCCCCCTGGGGATATCCTGGTGTTCCTGACAGGACAGGTGCCTGACATGGTGGGGAGAGGGGATGATGTATCCCAGGGGAAGACAGGGCCGGCATGTTGGCCTTCTGTGACTCTGGGACCCCTGCTGCTCTCCCTACCCTCTATCCAGGAGGAGATTGAGGCTGCCTGTGAGATGCTCCAGGATCGCTGCCGCCGCCTGGGCTCCAAAATCCGGGAGCTCCTGGTGCTGCCCATTTATGCCAATCTGCCCTCTGACATGCAGGCCCGTATCTTCCAGCCCACACCACCTGGGGCACGAAAGGTCAGTTGGAGAAACCCACACTCTTCACCCCTATGCTTCCCACAACTAGTAGTGAAAAAGCTGTGTGCCTGCCCCATGCAAGGTGAGTCCTGCGCACTGCTGCACACAGCTGAGGAGCAGCCAGTCCCTTGTTCCTGGGACTGAAGAGAGGAGAAATATGGTGTGAACCAAGAGAGAGCCAAATATGTGATCTGGAAAGTATGCACAGTAGATTCAGTGGAGAAGGGAAGTCCTTGATGTGCTAAGAGGTGGGATTTGATATGGACCTTTAAGAGAAATGTCTGAGGTCAGGTGCGGTGGCTCACGCCTGTAATCCCAGGACTTTCGGAGGCTGAGGTGGGCGGATCACTTGAGGTCAGTAGTTCGAAACCAGGCTGCCTAACGTGGTGAAACCCTGCCTCCACTGAAAATACAAAAATCAGCAGGGCATGGTGGCGTGCGCCTATAATCCCACCTGTTTAGGAGGCTGAGTCATGAGAATCGCTTGAACCCAGGAGGAGGAGGTTGCAGTGAGCTGAGATTGTGCCACTGCACTCCAGCCTGGGTGACAATGCGAGACTCCATCTCAAAAAAGAAAAATGGCTGAGAAGTCATCAGAGGAAGGCCCAAGGTATGTTTGAGGTCAGAGTGTGAGCTAGTAGGCTTAGTGGGAGGTTCATGTGGTGAAGGAGTAGGAGACAAGGCTAAAAACAATTTGGGGCTAAGATTAGGGAGGGCCTTTGATGACAGGAAAGTTTGGACTTTATTTATTTTTCTTTTTTGAGACAGAGTCTCGCTCTGTTGCCCAGGCTGGAGTGCAGTGGCAAGATCTCGGCTCACTGCAGCCTCCACCTCCCAGGCTCAAGTGATTCTTGTGCCTCAGCTTCCCAAGTAGCTGGGATTACAGGTGTGTACCACCACCCCAAGCTAATTTTTTTTTTTTTTTTTTGAGATGGAGTCTCACTCTGTCGCCCAGGCTGGAGTGCAGTGGCACCAACTCTGCTCACTGCAACCTCTGCCTCACAGGTTCAAGCGATTCTCCTGTCTCAGCCCCCCAGTAGCTGGGATTACAGGTGCCCTCCACCACGCCTGGCCAATTTTTTGTATTTTTAGTAGAGATGAGGTTTCGCTATTTTGGCCAGGTTGGTCTCAAACTCCTGACCTCAGGTGATCTGCCCACCTTGGCCTCCCAAAGTGCTGGGATTATAGGCGTGAGCCACCATGCCTGGCCAACACCCAGCTAATTTTTAGTAGAGATGGGGTTTCGCCATGTTGGCCAGGCTGGTCTTGAACTCCTGGACTCAAGTGATCCGCCTGCCTTGGCCTCTCAAAGTGCTGGGTTACAGGCATGAGCCACTGTGCTTGGCGAAGTTTGGACTTTAGACAGCTGAGTAGCAGTCAAAGGATTTTGAGCAGAGATATAACTTTCATTCAACAAATATTTAATGAGTTCCTTCTGTGTGTCAGGTACACAGGGGTTGATGATACAGTGATGAACAAAACAAAGTCCTTAGCCTAACAAACTTGCACTTGTGGTCTATCGGGGAAGCAGTGGATGCATAAATACATATTGTCAATTTGTGGCCAGTGCTATGAAGAGATACAAGGCAGCATAGTAGGATGGAACTTGACTCTGTGGGGTGGGAGTGAGGACTGGCATGAAGGTATTTTCCTTGGGGTGTAGGGAGGGCCTCTTCAGTAAGGGGAAAGTGGAATAGAGACCCAAACCAGGTGAGGGAGGGAGCCAGGCTGATATCTGGGAGAAGAGTATGCCAGACAGAGGGAATAGCTGATGCAAATGATCCAGTGAGGAGTGCACTTACTTGGGCAGAGCAAAGCAGTGTGTGGGAGGAGTGAGGGAGGTGGTGGAGTGCTAGCAGATGAGGTCAGAAAGGCAGCTGGGGTAGGTGATCCAGGCTTTTAAGGGGCTTGGATTGAATTCTAGAGTAGGATAGGAAGCCACTGAAGGATGGGGAGTGATGTGACAGGTTTGTATTTTAAAAGGACCATCCTGGATGCCATGTGACAGAGGCTAGGAGCAGAAGCAGGGATACACGTTAGGAGGCTCTTACAGGAAGTGTTGTGTGAAGACGAAAGCGGTGATGGGGAGGATCGGGCAGGAACTTGAACACCCCCATTTCCCATCTCTGAAAAAAAAAAAAAACCCTAAATCCTCTTCTCCATTTCCTTTCCTCCTATGGCCCTGCTGACTCCCAGCCCCCACTTCCCTGTCCCCTGTCTTCTGGCCTTGTCCCCTGCTCCTGACCTTGGATACTACTAATTCCCTCAGCTCCTGCCCCTTACTGCAACTGCTTCACTACTCCTAACTTTCCAAGATTACTTTTTCTGGGTAACTAGGTAGGTGGGGTCACTGGGTGACCCCATATCCTATCACTCAGGTGGTTGTGGCAACGAACATTGCTGAGACATCACTCACCATTGAGGGCATCATTTATGTGCTGGATCCAGGGTTCTGTAAGCAGAAGAGCTACAACCCCCGCACAGGCATGGAATCGCTCACTGTCACACCCTGCAGCAAGGTCAGCCTGGGGATGCATGGGAGTGGGGGAGGTGGAGTTGGCCCACAGAGAAGGTCCAACTCAGAAGCAGGGTGGGGGCTTCCTAGGGAACCGGGATGAGCAGTTTGCATCCTTCCAGATTTCTTGCATAAATACTGCCTTTTTCTTTTCCCTGACCAAATTGTCAGCCAGCCTGTTCCCCTTTCTTTCCAGGCCTCAGCCAATCAGCGAGCTGGCAGGGCAGGTCGGGTGGCTGCAGGGAAGTGCTTCCGCCTGTATACCGCCTGGGCCTATCAGCACGAGCTTGAGGAAACCACAGTGCCTGAGATCCAGAGGACCAGCTTGGGCAATGTCGTGTTGCTGCTCAAGAGCTTAGGTGATTGGGCTACCTGAGAGAGGAGGGAGGGGCTGGAGTCACTGTCCTTTGAAGGGACTCTGTTCCATCCATCACACCTCTTTCTAGGGATCCATGACCTAATGCACTTTGATTTCCTGGACCCTCCACCATATGAGACACTGCTGCTGGCTTTGGAGCAGCTGTATGCTCTGGGAGCCCTCAACCACCTTGGGGAGCTCACCACGGTGAGTCGGGGGACAGCATGGGTGGAGGCAGGATGATAGGGGTCAGGATGGCTCCAGGGACCCCTGTAGTAGTAGCGGGAAACCTGAGGGAGGACTGGGCTCAACTCTCTCTCTCTTCTCCTTAGTCTGGTCGAAAGATGGCAGAGCTGCCGGTGGACCCCATGCTGTCCAAAATGATCTTAGCCTCTGAGAAGTAAGCCCTCGCCTCCACCTGGGCCCCCAGCACACAAACAGGCCAGGCCTCCTCTGTCTCCAGGGTCCCCTTTGTCTGTCTTTTTCTGTTCATCATACTATCCCTTAACACATAATAAAGTATTAGATAACTCTGATTGCCCCCTTTTGAGGCCCACAAGGGTAAGACACTTGATCCTATCCTTGATTCCACTGCGCCCGGCCCCTTGAGGAACTTACTTGTTCCTAAGGTTTCCAACTAGAACATTTAGATGTAGCTGTGGAGGGATGACCTTTAAATGCCATTCCTCTGCTGTCAGAGATCTTTTCCAAATGCACATAGTGAATGCACACTTTCTGCAGAAGCCTCAGAATTCCCCGGTGTTTCCTGCTCCTGCCTCCATGGATGTCCCTCCTTTGTGACTGTGTTTCATCTATGGCCCCTACTTCCTTGACCCCCAAGCTGCTGCCAGAATCTATCTGCTGGCTGCTTTGTAGCCATTATGCCAACCAGCCTTCCCCACATGAGGAAACATCCATCACACAGTGATCACTCCCCACTCCACCATATCTGTTCCTATGTGTCTTGCTTTGAACTCATGCTTTCCCCTTCCTGTCCCAGGTACAGCTGTTCAGAGGAGATCCTGACAGTGGCTGCCATGCTCTCTGTCAACAACTCCATCTTCTACCGACCAAAGGACAAGGTCGTCCATGCTGACAATGCCCGTGTCAACTTCTTTCTCCCTGGCGGTGACCACCTGGTTCTGCTAAATGTTTACACACAGGTCACTGGGCTTGGGTGAGTGGGAATGAGAGACACTGGGGGACTTTAGTCCTGCTGTATACTTAATTATCTCTCCTTTCTTTTTAACTGTCTTCCCAGTGGGCTGAGAGTGGTTACTCTTCCCAGTGGTGCTATGAGAACTTTGTACAGTTCAGATCGATGCGCCGAGCCCGGGATGTGCGGGAACAGCTGGAAGGGCTCTTGGAACGTGTGGAAGTTGGTCTCAGTTCCTGCCAGGGGGACTATATCCGTGTACGCAAGGTCAGCATTTCTTCAGCCTCCTGCTTTCCACCCCCAGTACCTTCCCAGGAGCAAGCTTCTCTGGGGGCATGCAGCATTTCCTCCAGCGTGAGAGCATGCCCTCTTCCCCTTGTGTATGACGTGTCCTCCCAGGGCCCTTTCTTCCCCAGACCACTGAAGGTTCATTCCTGGGAAGTTCTTCATGCATTCCTTACCTCTCTAGTTTTCCTGAAGCCTGAACTAAAAAGGTAGTGCATTCTTAGGGTCCCCAGATGTCTGCCTTTTCCATTGATTTTCTTTCCTGCCCGCTCCTTAGGCCATCACTGCTGGTTACTTTTACCACACGGCACGGTTGACTCGGAGTGGCTACCGCACAGTGAAACAGCAGCAGACAGTCTTCATTCATCCCAACTCCTCCCTCTTTGAGCAACAGCCACGCTGGCTGCTCTACCACGAACTTGTCTTGACCACCAAAGAGTTCATGAGACAGGTGAGGAGAACATCCTGTGCCCACGCAGGTGGAGACTATGTAGAGAGATGGTGTCCTGGCAAGCTAAGAACCCAGGTTCAAGTTGCTGGGACTGGTACAGAAAGAGGAAGGTAGGGTAAAATAGAAAGACATCCTTTGTTTTTTTTTGTTTTTTTTGAGACGGAGTCTCACTCTGTTGTCCAGGCTGGAGTGCAGTGGCGCAATCTAGCCTCACTGCAACCTCTGCCTCTGGGGTTCAAGAGATTCTCATGCCTCAGCCTCCCAAGTAGCTGAGATTACAGGCGCAAGCCTCCAGGCCTGGCTAATTTTTGTTATTTTTAGTAGAGATGAGGTTTCACCATGTTGGCCAGGCTGGTCTCAAATGCCTGCCTCGGCCTCCCAAAGTGCAGGGATTACAGGTGTGAGCCACCATGCCCAGCCCAAAGACATCCTTTCTAACAGGTGTGTCAGCATCTTCCAAGATCTGAGAACTAGACACTTATTCAATAAATATTTGAATGGCTACTGTATAGGTGCTGGGGCTATAATGAACAAAGCAGTCTCTGGTCTCACAGAGTATAGTCTTTATGTTCTAGGCTTTTCTTTTTTTTGAGAGTTCCGTGCTGTTGTAGCCCAGGCTGGAGTGCAGTGGCACCATCTCAGCTCATGCAACCTCCGCCTTCGGTTTCAAGTGATTCCCCTGCCTCAGCCTCCAGTGTAGCTGGGATTACAGGTGCCCACCACCACGCCCAGCTAATTTTATATTTTTAGTAGAGACTGGGTTTCACCATGTTGGCCAGGCTGATCTCGAACTCCTGACCTCATGATCCGCCTGCCACGGCCTCCCAAAGTGTTGGGATTACAGGTGTGAGCCACTGTGCCTGGCATGTTGTTCTAGACTTTTCTTGGGAATAGCTTATTTGGTATCTTGAATAACATACAGAGGTGTATCTGCCCTTTGGGTATATAATAATAGAGCCAGGCACCTTTACACCTAGCCCTGCAGTCAAAGAGGAAAGATAACTTTTGACCATACACATAAGGATCTAGGTTGGGGCTGGGCATAGTGGCTCATTTTTGTAAACCATCCCAGCACTTTGGGAGGCCAAGGCAGGATCCTAGCACTTTGGGAGGCCAAGATCAGCCCAGGCAACATAGTGAGACCCCAACTATACAAAAAATTAATGGTGCACTGTGATGTGTGCCTGTAGTCTCAGCTACTTGGGAGGCTGAGGCAGTAGGACTGCTTTGAGCCATGATACGCCACTGCAGTCCAGCCTGGGCAATAGAGCAAGACTCTGTTTCAATTTAAGAAAAAAAAATAACAACAACAAAAGATCTATGTTGGAAAGAAGGGAACTCCATTGATCTTTTCTCTCTCCTAGGTACTGGAGATTGAGAGCAGTTGGCTTCTGGAGGTGGCTCCCCATTATTATAAGGCCAAGGAGCTAGAAGATCCCCATGCTAAGAAAATGCCCAAAAAAATAGGCAAAACACGAGAAGAGCTAGGGTAAGAGAAGGACGTAAACAGAACCTGACACCAGCTCCTTTTCCTTCTATACATTATTTAATACCTATTAAATAAAATTATTTTTGGAATAAAGCTTGTGGGAACATTTGGGATCTAGAGAAAGTGATATGTGAAATTCTATCTCATATAGTCAGTTAAACTTTATTATTTACAAGTTAAATTACACAGCAGCTTTACACAGCATGAGATGGAAAGGAAGGAAGGAGAGAAACGAGGAGAGGAAGCTGGCTCCTGAGATTCTTGGCTGCCTCCACCTCCTTCTCTTGGGCGTAGCAGTCTTCAGTGCTGCCTCCACTCCAAGGTCAAGGATCAGGGCTTGGAACACAGGTTTAAGTCAGGTTCTGGCTCTGACAGCCCCAGGGCCACCAGGGCTCCCACTAGCAGCTTCTTCACAGGCGTTGGAGGTGAGTGTGAAGGCATCAGCTGCAGGGAGAAAGGTTAATGCCAGTTGGGGGAGGCACACAAATGTTCTACCCTTTACCCCACCCAGCCCTACCTAGGACTCACTTTATCTAGACGATGGCGACAAATGAGGCCACTGGAATTCAGGTAGAAAGTGGAGTAGGCATCATAGGTCCTGGGGAATAGAGGGAGGCTTACTGAGGGAGAAGGTGACTGGTCCCAAAGCTGAATTCAAGCATTTGTTTAAACGAGTAGTCCCTAAATTCTGCTACATATTAGATCACCTGGGCAACTTACAAACATCTCAGTGCTTAGGTTGTGCCCTGTCTCAATTAAATCAGAGTGTTTGGCGTCAATATTTTTTAACGATCCTTGGGCATTTCTACTGTGCAGCAGTTTGGGAACTGCTGGTTTAAAAACTTATATCCAATGTTTGTGGCTGAGTCTAACAATTTATTGGGATTCTACTCCCAGGCGGAAATTTACCAGGTTGTAAGGCTCAACATATGAGACAGGACTTTTCATTTGTTCAGTACTTTTGTGTGTGTGTGTGTGTGTGTGTGTGTGTGTGTGTGTGTGTGTGACAGGGTTTCACTCTGTCACCCAGGCTGGAGTCCAGTAATGTGATCACGGCTCACTGCAACCTCAACCTCCCAGGTTGAAGTGATTCTCTCATCTCAGCCTCCCAAGTAGCTGGAACTACAGGTGTGTACCACCACACTGGGCTAATTTTTGTATTTTTTTGGGTTTTACCATGTTGGCCAGGCAGGTCTCCAACTCCTTACCTCAAGTGATCCGCCCACCTCGGCCTCCCAAAGTGCTGGCATTACAGGCATGAGCCACCACACCCAGTCTGTTCAGTAAGTATTTGAGTACCTACCATGTGCTAGGCACTGTATAGGAAGAAACTGAAGCTCAGAGGTTTTTCTAATATACCCAGTCTCTATTTTTTTTTTAACATTAACATAAACTAAACAGGATCCCTGTCCTTAAACAGTCAAGTGAGGATAGGTCAAGGGTTGTCTGGGAGACTAGATCATCTGTAATCTCAGCACTTTGGGAAGCTAAGGCAGGTGGATCACCTAAGGTGAGGAGTTCGAGACCAGCCTGGCCAACATGGTGAAACCCTCTGTCTACTAAAAATACAAAAATTAGCCGGGTGTGATGGTGTGCCTGTAATTCCAGCTACCCAGGAGGCTGAGGCTGGAGAATTGCTGGAAGCCGGGAGGCAGAGGCTGCAGTGAGCTGAGATCACGCCACTGCACTCCATCCTGGGTGACAGAGTGAGACTCCGTCTCAAAAAAAAAAAAAAAAGGAACTGATTATAGTTTGGGTCCTTTCTCATTTCTCTCTTACCGGTAATGCTCGTCTTTGTCACGCTTGTAGAACCGCAAAAAGAGCAAGTGGACGGGCAGCCCCACAAGCCGCCACCGGGCTTGCAGGGTCCAGTTCTCAGGGTGGCGGGTCAGCTGTAAAACCTCCAAACGAAGGTGTGCAAAATAATTCCAGGCCAGGAAACGGCAGAGGGTCAGTGAAAGAATGTACCATGTCCGGCCCCTGTGAAGAAGGGATGGGAAAGAAATCTCATGATGGCAGAATTAGAAAACCAAACTGGCTTCTAAGGAATGGGGAACAGCTGTGAGAAGCAGTCTAGGAACTTCTCTGGGAAGTGAAAAGGGTCATGTATATACCTTTGGGTGCTTTTCCTCCCCAGTGCCCTACCTGTGCCCCAATTCTCACTTGGTACGTATGTTGAGGATCTCATTGATGAATTCCACATCCAAGGAATACAGACTGTAGTCGTGGGACTGAAGGAAGAGCTTGGGAAGCTAGGTGGAAGAAGATGGCATCAACCCAGTGGGAAAGAAAAGATAATCCTATTTTTCAGTTTTCTAATTTTTTTTTTTTTTTGAGACGGAGTCTAGCTCTGTCGCCCAGGCTGGAGTACAGAGGTACAATCTCAGCTCACTGCAACCTCCGCCTCCTAGGTTCAAGCGATTCTCCTGCCTCAGCCTCCCGAGTAGCTGGGATTACAGGCTTGAGATGGAGTCTAGCTCTGTCGCCCAGGCTGGAGTGCAGAGGTACAATCTCGGCTCACTGCAACCTCCGCCTCCCAGGTTCAAGCGATTCTCCTGCCTCAGCCTCCCGAGTAGCTGGGATTACAGGCACCCACCACCATGCCCAGCTAATTTTTGTATTTTTAGTAGAGACGGGGTTTCACTGTGTTGGCCAGGCTGGTCTTGAACTCCTGACCTTGTGATCCGCCTGCCTCGGCCTCCCAAAGTGCTAGGATTATAAGCGTGAGCCATGTGCCAGGCCCAGTTTTCTATTTTTAAGGCCTCCTTACTCCCATCTTGGAGTGAAAGATCTCATCCCATGATTAACCTCCCTTAACCCAAAATGAGGAACATCATTTTCTTTCTTTTTTTTTTTTTTGAGACGGAGTCTCGCTCTGTTGCCTAGGCTGGAGTACAATGGAGATATCTCCTTTCACTGCGCCTCCTGGGTTCAAGCGATTCTCCTGCCTCAGCCTCCTGAGTAGCTGGGATTATAGGCGTCTGCCACCATGCCTGGCTGATTTTTGTGTTTTTAGTAGAGATGGGGTTTCACCATGTTGGCCAGGCTGGTCTTGAACTCCTGACCTCAGGTGATCCACCTGCCTAAGCCTCCCAAAGTGCTGGGATTACAGCACTTTGAGCCACCGTGCCTGGCTGGAACATCATTTTCTCAGGAAAATGTTTATAATATATTTCTATGCCTGCCTCATGGTTCCAAAAAAGAATCCAGTTGACTATCCCTGTACGTCCAAGGATTACCCACATCCTTCCCACTGTAGACGAAGGCCACTTTTGCACTGACTTACCTCTTGTCTCAGTCTCTCATACATGACAGACAGATGTTCCTCCATACTAGGATCTCCTGACGGGGTGGCAGGGGAAGGGTGGGCAGTTCCAGGGACTTGGAAAGGTATCCAAGCCCCAGGATAGGGGCAGGGAGGTCCCTCAAAAAGGCTTCTAAGCCCATCCAGGCAGCCGCTATGCAACTCAGGTCCTGGTCCCTCCTCCCCCTTTCCTGGAGGGAGAACCACCCATGCTGAGCTGAGGGCCTGGATCTGAGGGAGAGGTAGTGGGGGAACCTGGGGAAGACGCTGGGTGGGAAGGCGTGGGGGCAGGGGAGACCAGAATAGAGGAGAAGATGGGGAAGTGGTTGTCGTGGAGTGGGGCCAAAGGGGTGGGAATGGTAGAGTCCCTGGATAAAGCTGGTCCTAAGGAGAAAGAACAGAAGGGAGAAAGATAAGAATCCACTTGTCTAACACCCCTTGATCCCCTGGATGCTCAACAGGCTTCCAATACCTATTCCTCCTGACAGAATGGATGGAATTACTATAGGAAAAAAGGGATGGATTCATCTCCATCTCTACTGAAAACAGGAGGAAACCATTTTATTTTATTATTTATTTTGAGATGGAGTCTCGCTCTGTTGCCAGGCTGGAGTGCAGTAGCACGATCTCAGCTCACTGCAACCTCCGCCTCCCGGGTTCAAGTGATTTTCCTGCCTCAGCCTCCTGAGTAGCTGGGACTACAGGCGCGCGCCACCATGCCCAGCTAGTTTTTGTATTTTTAGTAGAGACAGGATTTCACCATGTTAGCCAGGATGGTTTTCATCTCTTGACCTCGTGATCCACCCGCCTCTGCCTCCTAAAGTGCTGGGATTACAGGCGTGGGCCACCGCGCCCAGCCGAGCAAACTGTTTTATGTGACATAAATACCGGCACCTCCCAAAACCTAGCAGACATTTTACTTTTTTTTCTTTTTTTGAGACGAAGTCTCACCGTCGCCCAGGCTGGAGTGCATTGGCGCGAACTCGGGTCACTGCAACCGCCGCCTCCTGGGTTCAAGCCATTCTCCTGCCTCAGCCTCCCGAGTAGCTGGGATTACAGGCACCCTTCACCACGCCCGGCTAATTTTTGTATTTTTAGTTACAGATGGGGTTTCACCATGTTGGCCAGGCTGTTCTCGAACTCCTGACCTCAGGTAATCCGCCCACCTCGGCCTCCCAAAGTGCTGGGATTACAGGCGTGAGCCACCGTGCCCGGCCCAGTGTTGGAATCTTAAAGAAATGTGGCCGGGCGCGGTGGCTCACGCCTGTAATCCCAGCACTTTGGGAAGCCGAGGCGGGCGGATCACGAGGTCTAGGAGTTCGAGACCAGCCTGGCCAATATGGTGACACCCCATCTCTACTAAAGATACAAAACAATTAGCCGGGTGTGGTGGCGGGAGCCTGTAGTCCCAGCTACTCGGGAGGCTGAGGAAGGAGAATTGCTTGAACCCAGGAGACGGAGATTGCAGTGAGCCGAGATGGTGCCAATGCACTTCAGCCTGGGTGACGGAGCAAGACTCCATTTCAAAAAAAAAAAAAAAAAGATTCCAACACTGGGGGCAGTTTCACCTCTCTTATCGCAAGAATCATGTAATACATACTTGATGAGTTAACGAATAACAGGTTTTATTGTACTGTGGATTAAATGCTGTGGCCTGTACATCTCCATGATTAAGTGTGCGAGGCAAATGTACAGAGAAAAAAGAATATCCAGCTGAAGCTAGGAATCTGAATTCTATCATGTAACTTTAGGCATTCTCATTCCCTATGCCTCCGCTTCCTACAAATGTCCTATAAATGAGAACAATAAAGCCTCACTGGGTTATGAGGCCTATATGAAATAATGAATGTAAACAAAACGTAGCGACCTAGAAAGCAGTACATAAATGGAAGCTATTATCATTTCGGGCCCCTCTAATGACAGACACAACCTCAGGAGACAGTTAAAGGCTGGCCTTCACTCTCCTGGGTTTACCGACGTTGAAACTGCAAGGGGAGGTCACCCAAAGTTAGGCCTCACCCGAGTCCCTCCGCTCCCAAGGAACCCCCCAGGGGATCGTCTCACTGCAGGGAAGGCGGGCGGACCGCTCGGGTACCTCGGTCCCCGATGGTGTCCTAGAGGCGCCGTCTCTGCTGGGGGCGTGGCCATCTTGCCAGCCCGGGCGCAGGGGCCCGAACCGGGTGCACACTGGCCGGCCTTCCTGCCAGGACCGCTCTCCGAGTGCAAGACGGGCGGGCTGCTGAGGGCGCCCCGCGGGTCTGGTCTGGGCCGGGGAACTCCGGGACGGCGCCGCAGCAGGGCTACGAATCTCTCGGCCCCTGCCCTTCAAATCACCTCTAGGCACAGGTAACCGCGGAGAGTCGGGCGCAACGCAGACGCGCCCCGCTGCCTGGCCTTGACCCCGCCTGACCGCCCTCAAACCTGGGAGGACCGACGTCCTTGCGCGACAGGCCCGGCAGCGCCTCCCTCCCGCTCCCGCGACCCCTAGCCTGTCCACGCGCTGCAGGGCACAGGTGGGAAGGGGCGGCGGGTGTCTCTGCGCCTGCGCGGAACCCAGCGCGCGCTCCGCCCCACGCACCGGCTTTGAGGAGGGTCTCTCCCCGCCCCCTCTCCTCCCTCCCTCTTCTCCTCCGCTCACCTGGGGTCGAGCCTGGTAGGCGCGCAGGCAAGGGCCGAGACGCCGGGCCGCACCCCGGCTGGGCTGGTACATGATCTTCCGGGAGTGGAGAAGGAGCCTCCTGAGTCCGACCTCCGGCCTCCTCACAGGGGTGAGCGCGCCCCAGAGCCGGCTTCGTGAAGGGGAAAGGAGGCCGGGGCGGGGGGGTAGGGGGGGAAGGGGCTGAGGGAGGGAAACGGAGATGTCCCGCGCTTGCGCACTGCAGGCTCGAGGGAAGCGGCTGAAGCGCTCTGTCGGCTGTAAGCGCGCCTGCGCCCGCGGGCTCGGAGACTGCCTGAGTGCGCTTGCGCAAGTTACAGCCTCCCCCGCCCCCCCAAGCGCTGTATTCACAGCTGAGGCCTTTGAGCAAAAAGCTGAGCAAAAACAGGGCTGAAGGCTGAATGGGTGCAACGACAGTGAGGGGTGAGGCGGCTGAAATAATGAGTCAAATTTTTCAACAGCTCTTGTGATAAAAATAAATACTTTTATTGGTCTGGTTAAAAGATACAAATGACTTGAATCTGATAAGCCTGCTGAATGAATGAATGAATGAATGTATCCATCTATTATGAGGGTTGGGCTTTGGCTCTTTCCTGTAGTGAGGGAGAAATAATACTTTGAAGATGTTTGACGGGGCTGCGGTCACCAAGGCCTGGTGCTGCGACGTTCCTGCAGGTTTCGAATGAACCTGGCGTTGAGTATGTCCCCACCCACTGTCCAGGACTGGGCTGGCGGGGCCGGGGCCTGTGGAGGAGCTGTGTGCATGGGCTTCTCCCCAGACCCATCCTGTGACAAGGCCTGCTCCTCACTGGCAGACCTGGTAGGTGGGGAGATGGAGAGTGGGTTATAGGAATACTAAAGAGGAAATTAAGATTACAGACTCTTCAAGGTCTCGGGCCAGGTTTTAATGTAGGACACATGATGGGTATGAAGCTGGAACCATTAGTGCTATGTCCAAATTTAAAACCTCTCAGAGAATCCGTATTCCAAAGGGAAGTACCAGAGTTGAACCTGTGGGGGAAAGGGGCTTGCAGGATGTAAGGTAGAAGGAATTGTGGGAGGAGCTGGTGTCCAGTTCATACAATAAGATTTAAGAGTAGGAAGTGACTGAGAATGATGTTAGGAAGGGAGTCAGATGGTGGTGGGAGGCTGTTAGGGGAGGGGTTTAGACCTCACCTATTCTTTGTTTCCTGTTCTCCCTGCTTGGAGTCTTGGTTGCCTGTGGAAATATCAGGCATGTGAATGGGAAGGCAGGAGTAGACAGTGAATGTGGCCTACTTGATTTGAGGGTAGGGAGGAGTGAATACTTACCTGTATTGGGGGATGAGGAATTCACCCCCCCATGGCGGCTGTAGCAGCAGCTTTGGGCTACCAGACCTGGGGGAGTCCCCCTGTAGAAGAAATGGGAGATGATGGGGAGGAGGCTACTGGATGAAAGATGGGTGGGTATGGAGGAATCAGAGGAGAGGAGTAAAAGGAATAGCACAGGAACAAAGAGAAGGGGGTAATTATCATTCCTAACAGGTTTTAATCAAAGCTGTGCCCCAGAAAAGGGCGGGGGAAGTTCATTTTATACCCAAGATTTTCTGGAGTGCTTCTGATTTATTGCTCTATTCTTTCTAGTTGAGGTAATGTGTTAAATCTATGGCTAGGTGTGATCCAAATCATGTCAGAAGAACAGACTCACATGTGGTCAAAAATGTGTTGGATCGGGTACTCTGGTGTTTGGTTTGGAAAACAGGGTTACCTTAACTATAAGATTCCTTAGACCAGGCTGGGCGCGGTGGCTCAGGCTTGTAATCCCAGCACTTTGGGAGGCCAAGACGGGCAGATCACGTGATCAGGAGATCGAGACCAACCTGGCCAACATGGTGAAACCCTGTCTCTACTAAAAATACACAAACTAGCTGGGCACGGTGGTGCACTTCTGTAATCCCAGCTACTTGGGAGGCTAAGGCAGGAGAATCGCTTGAACCCAGGAGGCGGAGGTTGCAGTGAGCTGAGATTGTGCCACTGCACTCCAGCCTGGCGACAGAGCAAGACTCCATCTCAAAAAAAAAAAAAAAGATTCCTTAGACCAGAGGGAAATAGGAAGTGACAAGGCTGAATTTTGAATTTAGGAGGAAAAGGAAGGGGGCCTCTGTAAATAGGGTGACAGACTGTGTTGCACTCTCAATGGAGGTAAGGGTTTGTCTTGAGAGAGATCCAGCGGTTTAGTGGAGCAGACGTCAGGTAATCAGAGTGGGAAGACGAATACAGGAGGCAGGAGGTAATTAGTGGATCCAGAGATGTTGGTAAGCTTTGACATCTTGGCAAAGGCACGCCCAGAGTAAAGGGTAGAAGTCACTGGGGAGAGCTGGAGGTTCCTGGAGGGAATGAGGGAGTAGATACGGAAGCCCACACACAGGGATCCAGCACCTACATGAAAGGAGACACAGAATCTGCAGGAGGACTAACAGTGAAGATGGGGATAGGCAGACACCAGACTCAGGAGCTCTGAGGCTCCTGGGTAAAAGATGTGCAGATCTCAGAAGTGAGAAATGAGAGGGACAGAGGTCCTGAGATCCCAGGAAAATAAGGGATGACGCACAAATGAGGCTGACAACTTTTTTTTTTGTGATTCTTTTTTTCATTGAAAATGTCAATTTAGAAAACACAAAAGATTTCACACTTTATTCAGACAACACTGAGAGAAGAAAAGGGAAGAGTGAGTAGGGGAGATGGGGAGATCCGGCTCCCAAGGATTTCAGGAAACACAGTGGGGCACCTGATCTAGCACACATTCAGAGGGTAGGGAGGGGAAGGGATCTAGCTATACTCTGGGCATGGAGCAGGGAAGGTCGTCCTTGCTATGGAGGAAAGGAGAGAGGAAGGACAGAGGAAGAGTGGTCCCCCATCTCATCTCGACAATCTCACAAGACAGGAGTATATCGGGACCTAGCTACCAGGGAGGGATGGATGCAAGAAGGGATTCCAGGATCTAACAGATCCTTGACACTCTGGATCTACTCTCAAGAAACAACCTCCCTCAGAGAATCTGGATCTGGGGGAAATGGTGGTGTCAGCCAATCTCCTTTAGAGACCCCAAAGCAACACCAGTTTGGGGTTCCCTGACACCTACACAAAATGTGGAAATGAAGAGTTTGGCAATGGTGAGTAGATCCCTTTGGGAAGCTGGTAAGTCCCTGTTCTACCTAACTAGACTGCTCTGAAGCAGAGCTTGCTCACTAGCGGCCATTCGCAGGCTCAAAGGGCAAGTGTGGCAGGCAGCACAAAGCAGTATTAGAGCCACCAGTAGACACTAGAGGGAATATGGGGTTTATCCCATAGATAAAATTCCTTAAAAAGTTTCCCTGGCACAGGATGCCCTTAGACCTTCCATGGTGGTCTAAAGTTTGACAGCAAGCAAGAGTGTGCTTCTCTAGATAAATGTATGAGCCATCTAACCAAGAAGTCTGGCAACAGATCAGACTTCCTGTTGGGAAAGTATTCAGAGCCCAAGTTAGGAGAGAAGGGGTGCTTTTGTGTTAAGAAAAGCTACAAAGTGTTAGGCAGTTTGAGACCCTGACATCCCTGCTGTCTAAGAAAGTAGAAGAGGGAATCCTATGGGCTCTGTCAGGTTCCACTGGGTCCTACAGGATGCAATGGAAGAGTGGGTCTGAGGTTCTCAGGGAGGGGTTCCCTGCCCACCCCAGGTCTCCCAGGGCAGGGAGAGGGTAGCTGTTAGTATCGACTCTCCTCAGAGCGGGGAAGGGAGCTGTGGAAGGATGTTATGGATGGGAGGAAGGGAGATGGGAAATGGCGGGGGGCGGGGGAGAGAAAAACAGAGAAGTCAGAGGTGAAGAGAAAGGGAGAGAAATAAAGGAAATGCCCACTCCCTGCCTGCTGCGATGGACTCTTGGCACACAAGCCAGTGGCTTCCCACTCTCTGTCAGACACTGCCCCTTCCCCAGCAAGTATTAAGCGAAGATTTTCCCAATCTTAGAAGGCTCTGTTCCCCCAACTCGATGGATCTCGGTGTTCTTCCTACCATTCCACATAACTCTCACATTAAAGCCAGGGTCCCTAGGCTCCATATAAGGTCCTATTCTGCTCCTTCACTGCATTTTTTTCCCAGATCACTTGCACAAATATTTTTCTTGAAAGGTTTCAGGACCCCCCCCAAGCCACCCATCTTATTGATCCATCTCTCTGATGGATTCAAATTGCCCTTTGCCATTTCTAACATCCTCTTTTATAGCTGTGAGGCTCCTTAGCCCTTCAACTCCTATTACCTGGTGCGACGACGTTGAGCTGGGCTGCCCCCAGGGTCAGCAGCCAACAGAAGGCGGGCGGTAGGGTGTGGGGGGCAGAGGCGCAAGGAACGCAGCAGCTCCTGCTCTGGCACAAAGGGGCGGAGGGGACCTCGTTCTGGTGAGTTTCCCAGGCTGCTGGAGCGGGGGGGTGGGTGGGCTGGAGGTGTGGCGCGGCGAGGGGCCCTGTTTAGGGGCCAAGGAGGCTCCACAGCTACCTTCAGAACTGGGGACAGGGAGAATGAAGAGCAAGACAGAAAAAGAAGAAAAAAGGAAGAGAGTCATGACAGCAAAGGTTTTGGTAGAAAAAAAGAGAAATCTGAGTCTTTCTTTTTTTTTTTTTTCTTTTTTGAGACGGAGTCTCACTCTGTCACCCAAGCTGGAGTGCAGTGGCACGATCTTGGCTCACTGCAACTTCCGCCTCCTGGGTTCAAGCCATTCTCCTGCCTCAGCCTCCCAAGTAGCTGGGATTACAGGCACGTGCCACCGTGCCCAGCTAATTTTTGTATTTTTAGTAGAGACGGGGTTTCACCATGTTGGCCAGGCTGGTCTTGAACCCCTGGACTCAGGCGATCTGCCTGCCTTAGCCTCTCAAAGTGCTGGGATTACAGGCATGAGCCACCATGCCCAGCCCAAGAAATCTGAGTCTTTAGAGAGAACGAATCCTTTCCCTGGGTCCCCTGAGCATTCTCTTCCCTTGTGTTAAGGTACCCCAGGCCCAGACACCCGACCCTTGCCCCTCTTACATTCTCGGTCACTAGAGGAGTATGGCTTGATGTCTCCCTCTGCTCTCTTGGGTGGCAGCTTCCTTGCTGGAGCTGGCAGTGGAGGGGACATAGGCAGGGTAAGCGTTAGGAGACATACTTTGCACCCCTCCTCCCAGCCACTATACCCCAACCCCAAACCTCTGCTCCCTGACACCACAGTTCCTCCTGAGAACTTGCAGGAGCAGCACCATGGCAATGCCAGCACACCAAAAGGGAATTTGAGGGGAATGTGGAACACTGTTGAGGAAAGCCAGAAGGAGTAGGCCAAACACAGAGCTAGGGAGAAAGATCGAAGGGGAGACTCTGGGGGCCTGGGAGATGCAGGAGAAGGGCAGCCAAGGGAAGTGAGCTCTTACTGTCAGTGGGTGCTGTCATGGCCCCCTGGTATTCTGGGGCAGTGGAATGGTCCCAGCCGGGCCAACGAGGACCCTGGGTTCCTCTGGATGAGATGGACAAAGCCCTTGGTTAATCAGGAATTGCTCTGGAGAGGTCAGGGGAGGTTTGGAAGGAGGGCACAATCTCTCCTTCCTATACGAAAATGGGAAGAGACTGAAGTTTTATTAGGTTAAAAAAAAAAAAGAAAATAAATATGGGCATCTGAAAGGGAGCTATCAGAGTAAGCAGGAGGCTGATGTAATGTCCAAAGTTCAGCCTCCCCCTCCTCACTTCTCTACTTGCTCCCGGCTTTCCCTCTCAAGAGATTCTCCATCATGTATGTGTGGCAAATGAAAGACTTCTCAGCAAATTCACTTAAGCTTTATCCACAGCACCCTCCCCTGCAGGCCTGAGACCTCACCATCCTTGTTGGCCCTCAGTCCCTCTCACAGCCTGTGGTTCTGAACAAGCTAAATGGGAGAAGCCTTGGAAACCAAAGCGAGTTGAGGTGCCTCTCAGTGCCTGACACTGTGATGCTCATAGCTGGTTACAGACTGCTGTTTGGATGGTGGTTACATCCTTTCCTGGCCACAGAGCCAGCTCAGGAAGGGGGCTCTTCTGTGCAAGCAAGCACTGTACAGCTGTCAGAAGTTGGTAAGGTGGAGGTGGTGAGGAAGAGGAAGGAGTGGGGCTCAGACTGTCAGTAAGTGTGTTTGTGTGTGTGTGTGTGTGTGTGTGTGTGTGTATATGGGATGGGGAATCTGGACAGCATTTTAGTGCCTCTGAGGTTTGGTTTCTCCATATCAATTTCATTATCTGGTTGGAAATGTTATAAACTCTGAGTGTTATCTTCTAAAAGTAACATTTAAATTTTGGGCCATTTGTGTCACTATTCTGTGACTGCAAATGGAAGGGCTGTTTGCACCAGCCTGTCCCTCACTGGCTAACAGAAGCCTGGGGTTTACAAAGGAGCCTGACTCTGGCCTATGTTGACGGACCTGAACTGGCAAGAGGGTCCATTGATATCAGCTGTCAAACAGGCTCCCAATGAGCTTGCTTAGTTAAAAGTCTTGCCAAATATAAAATGCACTGAGCTCCCATGAGGGCAAAGGCAAACAGTCATGACTGCTGGAGACTTGGGTTGCTTTAGAATTTTCCAAAATTGCCCACAGATGGCACTGTACCCCGTGGCATCTAGAGTAAGTAGCCATCACTGCACTACAGTTCCACCCCTTCAATACAGGCTTTACCAGCGGGCGTGGGATCGACTGCAGCAGCACGAGAGTGTCGAGTTGCCCTCAGAGAGGGAGCAGGGGGCCCTGTGAGGAAGGAAGCGGCGGGGCCCCTCAGTGAGGGGTCGGCAGGACCAAGAGTCCAGCTCTTTCCTTTCCCTCACCCCGACTACGTGACCAACAAAATGCAAAAACTTACGATGTTGATGGGCAAAGAAGCCTTCAAAGATCACAAAGTTGTTCACCTGGAAGATGAAACAAACAAAATACAATCATGCATCACTTAACGATGGGGATACATTCTGAGAAATACGTCATTGGGTGATTTCATTGTGTGAACATCACAGAGTGTACTTACACAAACCTAGACACTATAGCCTACAACACACCCAGACTATATCATACAGCCTATTGCTCCTAGGCTACAAACCTGTACAGCATGTTACTGTACTGAATGCTGTAGGCAATTTTTTTTTTTTTTTGAGAGGCAGAGTCTCGCTCTGTTGCCTAGGCTGGAGTGCAGTGGTGCCATCACAGCTCACTGCAGCATCAACCTGGGCTTAAATGATCCTCCCACCTCAGCCTCCCAAGTAGCTAGGACCACAGGTGCATGCCACCACATCTGGCTACTAATTTTTTTTTAACTTTTTGTAGAGATGGGGGTCTCACTATGATGCCCAGGCCAGTCTCAAACTCCAGGGCTCATGTGATCCTTCTGCCTCAGCCTCCAAAAGTCCTGGGATTATAGACGTGAGCCACCATGCTCAGCCAGCTGTAGGCAATTCTAACATAATGGTTCAGCTGATGTATCTAAACATACCTCAACACAGAAAAGGTACAGTAAAGGTCAGGTGCGGTGGCTCACGCCTGTAATCCCAGCACTTTGGGAGGCCGAGGCGGGCGGATCATGAGGTCAGGAGATCGAGACCATCCTGGCTAACATGGTGAAACCCCATCTCTACTAAAAATACAAAAAAATTAGCCGGATGTGGTGGCGGGCGCCTGTAGTCCCAGCTACTCGGGAGGCTGAGGCAGCAGAATGGCGTGAACCCGGGAGGCAGAGCTTGCAGTGAGCTGAGATCGTGCCACTGCACTCCAGCCTGGGCGATGGAGCAAGACTCCGTCTCAAAAAAAAAAAAAAAGAAAGAAAGTGAAAAGACAATCTACAGAATGGGAGAAAATGTTTGCAAGTCATACATCTGATAAGTGCGTTCTATCTAGAATATATGAAAAACTCTCAGAACAAAAAAGAACACAATTTAAGAACAGACAAAGGACTTGTATAAACTTTTCTCTAAAGAAGATACACAAATGGCCAATAAGCACATAAAAAGGTGCTAAAGTCCAGGTTCAGTGGCTCACACCTGTAATCCCAGCACTTTGGGAGGCTGTGGCAGGCATCACTTGAGGTCAGGAGTTCAAGACCGGTCTGGCCAAGATGGTGAAACCCTGTGTCTATTATAAATACAAAAAATTAGCCAGGCATGGCAGTGTGCACCTGTAATCCTAGCTACTTGGGAGGCTGAGGCAGGAGAGTCGCTTGAACCCAGGAGGCGGAGGTTGCAGTGAGCTGAGATCGTGCCACTGCACTCCAGCCTGGGCAAGAGAATGAGACTCCGTCTCAAAGGATAAATAAATAAATAAAAAATTCAGCAGGGTTCCAAGGGGTGGGGAAAGTCAGGGGAAGACATGCTGGAGGCCAGGATGCTACTTTGATAACTAGTAACTATTAATTTTAGAGTTACTTCATTATATTTTCACATTTAATTTGGCCTTCACAATCCTGGAAGTCACTATTTGAAAGAAGGTTGGGGGAAATACAGCCTTGGAGACATGGCTTCGCTTGGCCAATGCCAAGTAGCTACAAGTGGCAGGGCTGGGCCTCAACTTTCAGACTTCTGATTCCAGCTGCAGTGTTTTAGCCAGGAAAATAGTGTAGCCATTAAGAGTTTACTCAAGAGGAGAGCTTGCAGTGAGCCGAGATGGCAACACTGCACTCCAGCCTGGGCGACAGAGAGAGACTCCGTCTCAAAAAAAAAAAAAAAACTCGGGGGCCAGGCGTGGTGGATCACGCCTGTAATCCCAACAATTTGGGAGGCCAAGGCGGGTGGATCACTTGAGGTCAGGAGTTCGAGACCCTGTCTCTACTAAAAATACAAAAATTAGCTGGGTGTGGTGACGTGCGCCTGTAATCCTAGCTACTCAGGAGGCTGAGGCAGGAGAATCCATTGACCCCAGGAGGGAGAGGCTGTAGTGAGCTGAGATTGCACCACTGTACTTCAGCCTGGGTGACAGAGTGAGACTCCATCTCAAAAAAAAAAGTTTAATGGGGGCTGGGCATGGTGGCTCATGTGGATAGCTTGAGCCCAGGAGTTCAAGACCAGCCTGGGCAATATAGCAAGACCTCATCTCTACAAAAATATTTTTAAAAATTAGCCAGGCGTGGGCCGGGCCCAGTGGCTCAAGCCTGTAATCCCAGCACTTTGGGAGGCCGAGGCGGGCCGATCACGAGGTCAGGAGATCGAGACCACCCTGGCTAACACGGTGAAACCCCGTCTCTACTAAAAATACAAAAAATCAGCCAGCCATAGTGGTGGGCGCCTGTAGTCCCAACTACTTGGGAGGTTGAGGTGGGAAGATCTTTTTTGAGATGGAGTCTCGCTCTGTTGCCAGGCTGGACTTCAGTGGCAAGATCTCAGCTCACTGCAACCTCCACCTCCTGAGTTCAAGCGATTCTCCTGCCTCAGCCTCCGGAGCAGCTGGGACTACAGGCATGCGCCACCATGCCCAGCTAATTTTTGTATTTTCAGTAGAGACAGGGTTTCACCATGTTGGCCAGGATGGTCTTGATCTCTTGACCTCGTGATCCGCCCGCCTTGGCCTTCCAAAGTGCTGGGGTTACAGGCGTGAGCCAATGCGTCCGGCCTTTTTTTTTTTTTAACATGGAATCTCACTCTGTTGCCCATGCTGGAGTGCAATGGTGTCATCTCGGCTCCCTGCAACTTCCACCTCCCAGGTTCAAGCTCTTCTCCTGTCTCAGCCTCCTGAGTAGCTGGGATTACAGGCACATGCCACCACGCCCGGCTTATTTTTGTATTTTTAATAGAGATGGGGTTTCGCCATGTTGGCCAGGCTGGTAGGGAAGATCTCTTGAGCCTAGGAGGTAGAGACTGCAGTGAGCCGTGATCGTGCCACTGCACTCCAGCCTAGGCAACAGAGCAAGACCTTGCCTCAAAAAGAAAAAAAAAAAAAAAGTTCACTGGGTGCAAATGGCTATGGGTTCAAATGTGGACTCTACTATTTACTGGCTGTGTGAATTTGGTTAAGTCATTAATTTGTATAAACCCAAAATAGGTTTAATAATAGTACCTACCTCAAAAAGATGTGCAAGAATCCACTGAGATGATGCATATAGATACCACATAGAGCCCATGAAATGTGAATTATTATTTACACTCTATACTGCTCTGGCCTTACATGTTAACTGGGTAATGTGTTTCATATCGAATACTGTGCTCCAGGACCGGGTATGGTGGCTCACGGCTGTAATCGTAGCACTTTGGGAGACCGAGGTGGGCGGATCACTTGAGGTCAGAAGTTCGAGACGTCTGGCCAACATGGTGAAACCTCATCAACACAAAAATTAGCCAGGTGTGGTGGTGGGCGCCTCTAATCCCAGCTACTCAGGAGGCTGAGGCAAGAGAATTGCTTGGACTCAGGAGGCAGAGGTTCCAGTGAGCTGAGATTGTGCCACTGCACTCCAGCCTGGGCGACAGACTGAGACTCCATCTCAAAATACAAACAAACAAACAAAAAAAAACTGTGCTCCTTCCACTGCTCTCTGTTGCCTCTTAATGGAAAAATATACTGTAGGAAGACCCTGCCTATCCCTTGCCTTGACCTTGTTGTAATGTCTACCAGCCCATCCTCATCACCCCCACCCCCCAACAAGCACATGCCCAGCACTCCAACCACACCACACTGCTTGTAGTGTCCTGAAAGGTGGTTTATTTTTATTTATTTATTTATTTTTTTTGAGACAGTGTCTTGCTCTGTCGCCCAGGCTGGAGTGCAGTGGCATGATCTGGGCTCACTGCAAGCTCCGCCTCCTGGGTTCACGCCATTCTCCTGCCTCAGCCTCCTGATTAGCTGGGACTACAGGCGCCTGCCACCACGCCCAGCTAATTTTTTTTGTATTTTTAGTAGAGACGGGGTTTTACCGTGTTAGCCAGGATGGTCTCGATCTCCTGACCTTGTGATCCGCCTACCTTGGCCTCCCAAAGTGCTGGGATTACAGGTGTGAGCCACCACGCCTGGCCTGAAAGGTGGTTTAATACCTTTCTGCCTTTGCTCATGCCTGTTCCTCTACATGAAATGCACTTTAGCCTTTTGTCCACCTGACAAACACTTGCCTTTCAAGATTAGACATGTCATCTTTCTTTACCCAACCCCCAGCCCAAGATAGCACTCAAATCCATGTCCTTATGCCTCCTCTGTAATCACATCTATCAAATCATGTTACAATGGATTAACTGTCCATGTTCCTATCCAAGGCTAACTTGTCAACCAAATCTCAACGCCCCCGCCGCCCATTCAATGACATCACTTCAACAGTTCTCCCCACTTTCTCTGACATAATAATATTTTCTCTCTACTGAATCATTCTAATGCTATTTGTTCTCCCATCTGCAAAAGATCAACTCTTTTGATCCACTTCACTCTCCAGCTCTTGCTCTATTTCTATTCCCATTAAAGCAGGATTTAAAAGAGTAGCTTATTCTTGCTGTGTTCCTAGCTTCTCAGTCTACAAGACCCACTGCATCCAGGCTTCCAAACACCGCTGCACCAAAACTGCTCATTAAGATCACCAATGGCCTAACGCAGATAAATCCAATGGTAACTTCTCAGACCTCTTTGCTCCTTGATCAGCAGCATTTGACCAAGTAAACCATTCCTTCCTCCTGGAAACACTTTCTTCAGTGGCCTTTGAGGTCACCTTACTTTTCAGTTTTCTTTTCTTTTTTTTTTTTTTTGAGATGGAGTTTCGCTTTGTTGCCCAGGCTGGAGTGCAATGGCATGATCTCGGCTTACTGCAACCTCCACCTCCCAGATTCAAGTGATTGTCCTGCCTCAGCCTCCCAAGTAGCTGGGATTACAGGCATGAGCCACCTCGCCTGGCTAATTTTGTATTTTTTGTAGAGATGGGGTTTCACCATGTTGGTCTTGAACTCCTGACCTCAGGTGATCCACCCGACTCGGCCTCCCAAAGTGCTGGGATTACAGGTGTGAGCCACCACACCCGGCCTCAGTTTTCATCTACTTCACTAGTCACTCTGTGGTTGCATTTGCTGGTCTTCTTCTCTTCCTTAACTTCTTTTTGTTGCTGTTAGAACAACTCAGCAAAATAAAATTTGGGTTTATTGTTGCACAATATTGTTTCACACATACATCAAATAGGCCTAAATAAATAAGCAGCCATTTCATAGACAAAAAAGGCAAATAAATGAAACATTTTATCTTTGGCCTTTTTAACCATCTCACACAAACCAACTACTTATGGTACAACTAACTACATACACTAAAGAAGCTACTGGAATGCTCAGAACGAGACTTTTTGTTGTTGTTGTTGTTTTTGAGATGTAGTCTCGCTCTGTTGCCCAGGCTGGAGTGCAGTGGCACAATCTTGGCTCACTGCAAGCTCTGCCTCCCGGGTTCACGCCATTCTCCTGCCTCAGCCTCCCAAGTAGCTGGGACTACAGGCTCCCGCCACCACGCCTGGCTAATTTTTTGTATTTTTAGTAGACAGGGGGTTTCACCATGTTAGCCAGGATGGTCTCGATCTTCTGACCTCGTGATCCACCCACCTCGGCCTCCCAAAGTGCTGGGATTACAGGCGCGAGCCACCGCGCCCAGGCTTTTTTTTTTTTTTTAAACAAGGTTTTTTTTTTTTTTTTTTTTCCTCCTTTGAGATTATAATGAATATGGTCACACCACAAGTAAAGTCAGAAGTAAGACAGAGAACCCTCCAAAGGCTGGCTTGGTCATCTGAGATCATTAAAAATGACTGAACCTGGCTGGGCGCCGGTGGCTCACGCCTGTAATTCGAGCACTTTGGGAGGCCGAGGTAGGTGGATCACAAGGTCAGGAGATAGAAACCATCCTGGCCAACCTGGTGAAAGCCTGTCTCTGCTAAAAATACAAAAATTAGCTGGGTGTGGTGGCGGGCGCCTGTAATCCCAGCTACTCAGGAGGCTGAGGCAGGAGAATCACTTGAACCCAGGAGGTGGAGCTTGCGGTGAGCCAAGATCGCACCACTGCACTTGAGCCTGGCGACAGAGCTAGACTCCGTCTCAAAGAAAAAAAAAATGACCCTAACAATATGTACAAAAATATAAAATGTAAATAAAAAATACAAACAAACTTCCTTTTTAAAGTACTTTTAAAAGAGCAAGACCTTGGAAGTTTTGGTTCTTTTTTCCTCCTCTGTTGCAAATTCTCTGGTTTGGGTTGGGTGGTGGTGAGTGCCTGTCATCTGCAGTGGCACTGTCTGTGGAGGGCAAGCAGGCCTCTCGAGGGCAACCATGTTTAGATTCTGAGATGGGAAGTGGAGGGTGAATAGGTCACGGTGGCCTTAATTTAAAGTTTAACTTTTCTTTTTTTGCTGTCTAATCATCCTCACTGGCCTTCTGCTGCTTGGTATCAACATCGTCATCTTCATCATCATCAGCTGCCCATTTGTCCATACCGCCTCAGCTGCTTCGTTTTCATCTCCGTTCTTTTCTTCACCATCACCTTCCTCTTCCTTCTCCTCTTTCTCCCCACCCTGTTCCTCTTCTTCATCTACCTCGTTGTCAGCCTCCTGCTCCCCATTTTCCTCATTAGCGTTCCCGTTAGCATGGGCGTCTCTTCCACTTTCTGCCTCCTCCACAACTTCTCCTTGAAGTCCTTGGTGGTGATCACGGAGCTTGTGTCCACAACTGCCTCTGACATGGTGGGGCACAGCGGTGATCCGATGCAAGGGATTAAGAAGAAAGTGAGAGTTTGGGGACTATGTCGATTAAGCTGCCAGACTCTGAGGCAGCAGAGGAAGTGCATGGCGGAGGTGGCTGTGGTGAGCAGGACACCGAACCAGGAACAATGCAAAGATGGCTTTTCAGAGCAGCCAGCTGGGGGTCCTCACTTCTTAAAGAGGGCCCAAAGGGGCAGCTTCTCTATCTATAATCTTTCTATGGTGATCGCATCCTGTCTGTTGGCTTTAGATACCAGATGTATGCTGAAAACTCTCCTCCCCAAACCTCCTCCCTGATCTCCAGGGAAGTATCCAACTGTCTACTCAAACCTGGACATATCACAGACATCTCCAATTAACATATTAAAAATGTACTCCTAGTATTTCCCCCAAAGCTGGTCTACCTACCATCTCAGTTAAAGCAACTTCATTCTTCCAGCTGCTCAGGCTTTGGCATTGTCCTAAAGTCCTCTTTCTCCACATACAATCTGTCAGGAAATCTTACTTGCTTTACCTTCAAAATATTTAAAATTTGACCACTCTTTACCATCACTACTGCTACCACCTTGGTCTGAGCCACCACCATTTTTCGCCAGGATTGTTGCTGCCTAATTAGTCTACTTGCTTCTACTCTGGCTCCCTTATTGCCGTTTCCATTTTTTTTTTTTTTTTGATATGGGGTCTTACTCTGTCACCAGGCTAGAGTGCAGTGCAGTGGCACAATCTCAGCTCACTGCAACCTCTACCTCCCTGATTCAAGCAATTCCCCTGCCTCAGTCTCCCGAGTAGCTGGGATTACAGGCGAGCACCACCACACCTGGCTAATTTTTTTTTCTATTTTTAGTAGAGATGGGGTTTCACCATGTTAGCCAGACTGGTCTTGAAGTCCTCAGGCAATCCACCTGCCTCGGCCTCCCAAAGTGCTAGGATTACAGGTGTGAGCCACTGTGCCCGGCTATTGCCTGTTCTTAACAGCCAAAGTGATCTTGTTAAAAAGGAAAAAATCAAGATCACAGCCAAAATGATCTTTTTCTTTTTTCTTTGATGGAGTCTCGTTCTGTTATCCAGGCTGGAGTGCAGTAGTGCGATCTCAGCTCACTGCAACCTCTGCCTCCCAGGTTCAAGCGATTCTTCTATCTCAGCCTCCCAAGTAGCTGGGGCTACAGGTGCCCGCCACCACACCCGGCTAATTTTTGTATTTTTAGTAGAGATGGGGTTTCACCATATGGCCAGGCTGGTCTCGAACTCCTGACCTTGTGATCCACCTGCCTGGGCCTCCCAAAATGCTGGGATTACAGGAATGAGATACCACACCTGGCGCTATTTTTTTTTTTTTTTTTTTTTAAGAAGGAGTCTTGCTCTGTCGCCCAGGCAGGAGTGCAGTGGTACAATTTCAGCGGCTCACTGCAACCTCCGCCTCCCGGTTCTAGTGATTCTCCTGCCTCAGACTCCCAAACAGCTGGGATTACAGGCACCTGCCATCACACCCAGCTAATTTTGGTATTTTCAGTAGAGACCTCAGGTGATCCACCTACCTCGGCCTCCCAAAGTGCTGGGATTACAGGTGTGAGTCGCCACCCCTGGCCTGATCTTATTTTTTACTTAAAATAAAAGCCAGTCTTTGCAGTAGCCTATAAGGCCCCTCCTCCGCATTACCTCTCTGGTCTCATCTCCTACCATACTCCTCCGCTGACTCATGCTGCTCTGGACACAGCCAATTTGCTCTTTCAGGCACACTCCCACCTCACGGCCATACACTGGTGGTACCTTCTGTCTGGGATGCTCTCTCTCCAGATATTTCTTGGCTCTTACTCTTTTTTTTTGTTTGTTTGTTTTGAGACAGTCTCACGTTGTTACCCAGGCTGCAGTGCAGTGGTACCATCTCGGCTCACTGCAGCTTCGACCTCCTGGGCTTAAGCAATCCTCCTGCCTCAGACCCCCAAGTAGCTGGGACCACAGGTGCGTGCCACTACACCTGGCTAATTTTTGTGTTTTTTGTAGAGATGGGGTTTCACCATGTTGCCTAGGCTAGTCTCGAACTCCTGGGCTCAAGTGATCCACCCACCTCGGCCTCCCTAAGTACTAGGATTGCAGATGTAAGTCACCACGCCCAGCCTTGGTTTTTATTCTTTTTTTTTGAGATGGAGTCTCGCTCTGTCACCCAGGCTGGAGTGCAGTGGCGCGATCTCGGCTCACTGCAAGCTCTGCCTCCCGGGTTCACGCCATTCTCCTGCCTCAGCCTCCCGAGTAGCTGGGACTACAGGCACCCAGCTAATTTTTTTGTATTTTTTTTAGTGGAGACAGGGTTTCACCATGTTAGCCAGGATGGTCTAGATCTCCTGACCTCGTGATCCGCGCGCCTCGGCCTCCCAAAGTGCTGGGATTACAGGCATGAGCCACCGTGCCCGGCCAGTTTTTACTCTTACTTCCTTTCAGTTATTGCTCAAATGACACTTTCTCAGTGATGATCCCCTTTCAACCTGCAATCCCACATACTCCCATCCCCACCTTACTTGAGTACTCCCAAACCCTTACTTGCTCTCATTTTTCCAGAGCACTTATTAACCATATTGTTTATTATGTTTGTTTGTCTCTCCAGCTAGAATATAAGCTCCACCACTAAGACAGGGACTTTTGTCTGTTCCCTTCTTTTTCTGTTTTTTTTTTTTGTTCCGAGACAAGAGTCTCGCTTCGTCCCCCAGGGTGGAGTGCTGTAGCAGGACCTCGGCTCACTGTAACCTCTGCCTCCGGGGTTCAAGCAATTCTCCTGCCTCAGCCTCCCGAGTAGCTGGGATTACAGGCGCACGCCATCATGCCCAGTTAATTTTTATATTTTTAGTAGAGACAGGGTTTCACTATGTTCCACATGCTGATCTCGAACTCCTGATATCAGGTGATCCTCCTGCCTTGGCCTCCCAAAGTGTGGGGATTACAGGCATGAGCCACCATGCCTGGCCCTTTTTCTTTTTCTTTTTTGAGATGGAGTCCTCACTCTGTCGCTCAGGCTGGAGTGCAGTGGTGCAATCTTGGTTCACTGCAACCTCTGCCTCCCGGGTTCAAGTGATTCTCCTGCCTCAGCCTCCTGGGTAGCTGGGATTACAGGTACCCACCATCATGCCCCGCTAATTTTTGTATTTTTAATAGAGACGGGGTTTTACCATGTTGACCAGGCTGGTCTCAAACTCCTGACCTCAAGTGATTCGCCCACGTCAGCCTCCCAAAGTGCTGGGATTACGGGCATGGGCCACCGCACCGCACCTGGCCTTTTTTTCTGTTTTTGTTTTCATTTTTGGAGACAGGGTCTCTCTCTGTTGCCCAGGCTATAATGCAGTGGCGCGATCTTGGCTCACTGCAACCTCTGCCTCCCAGGCTCAAGCGATTCTCCCATTTCAGCCTCCCAAGTAGCTGGGACTACAGGCTCGTGCCACCACGCCTGGCTAATTTTTTTTTGTATTTTTTGTAGAGACAGAGTTTCGCTATGTTGCCCAGGCTGTTGTCTGTTTCATTGAGTAAACCATTCCTAGTGCCCAGAACACTGCCAGGCACTCAATGTTTATTGGATGAATGGGTAGCATTAGTAACATTTTGCTGCACTTAGTTATAAACAAGACTTCCTTCCCTATATTAGGCCAAAGCTCCATGAGGACAGGGAATGCATATTATTCTGGACCCTTAATAAATACTGACTGACCAGATGAGTAATGAACTATGTGAAAACAAGGAGGTGAAAATGAGCTGGCTATGTTTGGGTTGAAAATTAGTCATAAGGGGTCGGGCACGGTGGCTCACGCCTGTAATCCCAGCACTTTGGGAGGCCGAGGCGGGCAGATCACAAGGTCAGGAGATCTAGACCATCCTGGCTAACACGGTGAAACCCCATCTCTACTAAAAATACAAAAAATTAGCTGGGTATGGTGGTGGGCACCTGTAGTCCCAGCTACTCGGGAGGCTGAGGCAGGAGAATGCCGTGAACCTGGGAGGCGGAGCTTGCAGTGAGCTGAGATCGTGCCACTGCACTCCAGCCTGGGTGACAGAGCGACTCTGTCTCAAAAAAAAATTAGGCATAAGGGTTGTGTGCGGTGGCTCACACCTGTAATCCCAGCACTTTTGGGAGGCTGAGGTGGGCACATCACTTGAGGCCATGAGTTCAGGACCAGTCTGTCCAACATGGTGAAACTCCATCTCTACTAAAAATACAAAAATTAGCTGGGCATGATGGTGCATGCCTGTAATCCCTACTACTCAGGAGGCTGAGGCACAAGAATCACTTGAACCCCGGAGGCAGAGGTTGCAGTGAGCTGTGATCGTGCCACTGCAATCCAGCCTGGACGATGGAGCAAGGCTACATCTCACAAAAAAAAAAAAAAAGAAAAATTAGGTGTAGGAAACAACTTGTGGTAAAGAATCAAAATAAGTCTGGGTACAGTGGCTCACGCCTATAATCCCAGCACTTTGGGAGGCTGAGGCAGGTGGATCTCTTGAGCCAGGAGTTCAAGACCACCCAGTGCAACATAGTGAGACCTCATCTCTACAAAAAATAAAAAATTAGCCAGGCATGGTGGTGCATGCCTGTAGTCTCAGCTACTCAGGAGGCTAAGGGAGGAGTATCGCTTGAGCCCAGAAGGTTGGGCTGCAGTGAGCCAAGATCCTGCCATAGCACTCCAGCTTGGGCAACAGCAGGAGACTCTGCTTTGAAAAAAAAAAAAAAAAAGTCAGATGCGGTGGCTCACACCTGTAATCCCAGCATTTTGGGAGGCCAAGGCGGGCAGATCACAAGGTCAGGAGTTTGAGACCAGCCTGGCCAGTATGGTGTAACTCCGTCTCCACTAAAGATATAAAAATTAGCTGGGTGTGGTGGTGGGTGCCTGTAGTCCCAGCTACTCAGGAGGCTGAAGCAGGAGAATCGCTTGAAACCAGGAAGTGGAGGTTGCAGTGAGCTGAGATTGCGCCACTGTACTCCAGCCTGGGCAGCATGGCGAGACTCCATCTCAAAAAAAAAAATCAAAATAGATGAGAAAGAAGTCACTACAGGATGAGAGATGGTACCACAAGAGAAAGAAAGAGCCTGGTTGTAGAAAATGAAACCTATGTGATAGGAAATAAGTCACTACTTCTTTGCCATAAATAACAAATAAATTCAATGGGAATGCTCAGTGGGGATCTATTCTCTGAAACCTCTAACCTGTGGGACTGTGGTCTCCAGATTGTAGTGCTTATTCAGGAATTTCAGCAGCTTCTGTGAGGGTCGGTCAATTGCCAGTTGGTGCGGTTCCACTCGCTCCTTCTGCAGGGAAAAGGAGACTCAGGGTAGGAGGAAGTATGGGGAAAGCATGCCAACAGGAAGCCAGAAGCCTGGGAAGGGAATAGAATGACATGGGAACATGGGGGGTGGGAGGCAGGGCTTCTGGAAGGGCTCAGGGCAAAGGAGCCCCTAGTTTGGATGAACCAGTGAAGAGGTCAGTGATACCTGCAACATATACTGGAAGAGTTCTCGCCCATGGCCATGGCGTTGCACAGACTCATGGATGTAAAAGTCCAGGATGCAAAGTGGTTCTACCTCATTATGAGCCTCACGATCATCCTAAGAGAGAAACAATAAAAATGTTTTAGGAACCCCGGCATCTCTGCTGCCCCCTAACCTCCAGCACTTTTGTTCTCAGAAACCAAGGTATACGAACTCCTAGCATCCAATAACACTCACCAGTACAAAGAGCTTCTTGTATCCAACTTTGATGAAACCAATAATGGCTCCTTTTCCAGCCCTGTAGGACGGGGAAAATAATGAACAGGCTAGTGGTATCTATCTGCAAGAGATAGTCAAAGATGGGGGAAGGGCTGAGGAAGGAAGGAATTAAGTATGGGATGGAAGAGCATGTGGCACTCACGGTCGGGCTGAACTGTCTTTGAGAATATAAACAACATGGCGGTTACTCTGCATCCTTGATGCACTAGTGATAGGAGCGGAAAGATTCTGGGCCTGCAGGGAAGATTAAGTCAGACTTTCTGCAAGTCTCTCCGAAGGACCCAGGCCTCCCTTATATACCATCCCCACAGAGGTCCTCCCTTTACTCCATCTAAAAACTCTCCAGTACCTTGGCAGAAGCCTTGCCCAGTTCATCTATAATGGTCATAATTTGCTGCTGTAGATCAACACTAGAGAAAGAGAAGAAATAAAGAGTCAGATACTCACTAAATTAGCGGGTCCTAGGCAGTCAGTCCTGGGAACCTGGGCCACAACTCCAACCCAGGTTTAACACTGAAGGCTCCCTGCCTTTGCCTGGGAGTCTTCCAATCTGATTTCCCACCCCACCCTTCTGAAACCCAAACTTCTGTCACACCTTTCAAGGTGGCACACTCCCTCCTCCCTTAAGGTTATTGTGAGGAAGCAGAAAGGCCAGGTCAACCACATCCTTTGATTGGGACATTTTGGGCCCGGGGTGAAAGGTCACAGATCCAAGCGCTGATCAATCCCACTAGGCCCAGGGTCAGAGGTCACCAAAAAGGCAGGCCTGGACATCAAAAGGGGCGATCACTAGTCAGTGAGAAGGGGGCGTGGTGCCTGGACCAGGTTTGGAGAGGAACCGGGAGAAAAGGGCCAGAGGGTGGGTTTGAGCTGTCACCGGGCCGGCGTTGTGGTTCCGGGTCGGCGGGCTGGGGGCCTCAGGTGCTGGTCCAGCACCGTGATCCGCTCCGGGAACAGCGCGTCCACATCGAACGGGAACTCCATGGCCCATTGTGCGCGGTCGGACCCGCCCCACACGACGTCACTTCCGCCCCTCCTCTCGCCGCACCGCCTCTCGGAGTCTTTATTTCCAGGAGCCCCGCCTGTAGACCTTGCCCCCTAGCGTCCTGGCAACTGACAGGGCCCCCGTTTTTCTTGCCAAACCAGCTGTGCCCCTAGCAGTGCCACTCCTTTCCATCCCTGCATCCCACGGCAGTGAGTGCCATGGCAACGTAGTCTTCCTTGGCCCAGTGTCTCACTGTCCAACCTTTTATCCCCTCAGTGAACAGTGGGCCATGCTGTGGAGTGGGGGCCCACAAGGCATCTTGACAGAGTGGCACAGCTGCCCATCCCCGGCTTCTAGTCCCAGGCGTCACAGGCAAGGCTGGCTTAAGCCTGACCACTTATCTCCCCACAGCATCACCCAATTGCTTATATGAAAAGACCATCACTCAGCCCACCCCCCGCTAATGGCATTCATCGGAAACAGCCCAAAGCAAACCAGAGACAGTAGAGCTTTATTGTGTAAAAGCTGAGTTGGTAGAAGTATGAAACGGCAACAATGTTTAGCCCAGCCCATCTATTTACAATATATAGGGGTTGGGGTTTCCCATACACATCTGTACCACCCGCCCTCAGCCTCAAGATTTATCCCTATCAGCAACATTCATTTCCTGGATTTGTCACTGGCCACAAAAGACACAACTCTTCAGGGTGATATCCCATCACATAAACCTACATACACATTATCTCCTAGTCCCTCTAGCTCTCTTCCCAGTCTTTTTTTTTTTTTTTGAGACAGGGTCTAGCTGTCACCCAGGCTGGAGTGCAGGGGTGTGACTGCAACTCACTGCAACCTCCGCCTCCTGGGATCAAGTGATCCTACCTTAGCCTCCCCAATAGTTGAGACTACAGGTGTGCACCACCACACCCAGCTAATTTTTGTATTTTTTGGTAAAGACGAGGTTTCACCATGGTGCCCAGGCTGGTCTCAAACTCCTGGGATCAAGTGATCAGCCCACCTTGGCTTCCCAAAGTGCTGGGATTACAGGAGTGAGCCACCACGCCTGGCCTCTCTTCCCAGTCTACAGCTCCTACAGAGCACTCTGAGGGCCTGTCTGCCCAGTGGAGGAGGCTTCCGCTGGTGTTCTAGGGGGCATCTTGGGCATTGACTCAGGTGGGGGGCCACTCTCTTCTTGGAGATGACCCTGGTAAAGCCGGCGAAGGCGAGACAGTTCTCTCTCCGGTGGCTGTTTCCAGTTGTACCATGGGTACCAGGGGTCACCTGAGACCAGGGTGGGGGCTGGCGGAGTAGCACTCACAGCCCCATGAGAGGTACTGAAGTCAAGGTCCCGTGGTTCAACCTGGGGGATGTGGTAAATGAGGAGACCTAAGGGATTAAAAAAGAAAAGAAATTTAAGAGGCAATGAGGAGGGTGGTTTAGATGAAGTAAGAAAAAGGATTATAAAGGGAAGGACCAGTCAGAGCCACCAGGTACATTTATGCATGTTGTATACTGCAAACAGGTGACCGGCCCAGAGGGCAAGTGTGGGCTGACATACTGCTGGGGCTCTTGCTTACAAAGCTGTGCAGTGCTGAACAAGGACTATGAAGCTGCATCTGCCCTAGCAGAGGGGTATACTTTTTACTAACTTATGCAGCAGTGCCATGTAGTCCAGGGCCAGACATTTATATAAAGAACTTCCTAAGGCATTGAGACCAGCAGTTGTAAAATAGGAGGGAAAAGGATGGAAAGACAAAGAACAAGGAGACAGGACAATGATAAAGTAAGACACTCAGGAGAAAGGACAGGGGACAATGTAACGTCAGGAAGAACATGCTGGGTGCTACCATCTTGAACAGGTGTGAGCATTTATATCCATTTTCTAGCCCTAAGTCATCTTCCTTATACCTAAACAAAACTGCTGTGTGCCCCGTCTCATGCTCACCATGATCCCTGGCTTTCTGGATGGCCTGGGTCAACCGCTTGTGCTGCTTCACACAGACTCCTGTGGGGAGAAAAATATCTTGTTCTTTAAGGCACAGTAAATAATAGAACACAACTGCTTCCATATGGTGACAGAGGGGTAGATTGGGAAGGATTGGCTTTACCTAATGACCCCTTTCCCCTGACCCCTCCATGGACCTCAGTTTCCCCATCTGCCCAAAGGAAAGAATCTCCCCCATCTTTTGGAGAGCTGGGATAAAGATTTAGGAGGGTCTAGCCACTATAGAGAAGCCATTTAATGGTAAAACCTCCAAGACAGGGAGAACACAATTTAATGGGCAAGTGTGGTTAATTAGAGGGTTGAGTTGAACAATCCACAAAGATTCAATAAAGGGAAAAGAGATTTCAGAGTTGGGGAAGGCAATCTGAGAGAGTAACAATAATAGTCCCTTCAGCCTTTACAGCTTGACTATAAGAAACTCTTGACAAACTGAACACTGATTGTACTGCCACCCCCAACAATGGTGAATTCAGATTATTCTCTGCAAGGCCAGGCACGGTGGCTCATGCCTATAATCCCAGCATTTTGGGAGGCTTAGGTGGGAGGATCACTTGAGGTCAGGAGTTCAAGACCAGACTGGCCAAAATGGTGAAACCCTGTCTCTACTAAAAATACAAAAAAAATTAGCCAGGCACAGTGGCACGTGCCTGTAATCCCAGCTACTTGGGAGGCTGAGGCAGGAGAACTGCTTGAACCCAGGAGGTGGAGACGGCAGTGAGCCAAGATCATGCCACTGCACTCCAGCCTTGGGTGACAGAGTAAATGAGATTTCATCCCCCCACCCACACCCCCCCAAAAAAAACAAAAACAAAGATTAGTCTCTGCCGGGCACGGTGGCTCATGCCTGTCATCCCAGCACTTTGGAAGGCCAAGGCAGCTGGATCACCTGAGATCCGGAGTTCGAGACCAGCCTGACCAACATGGAGAAACCCCATCTCTATTTGCCGGACATGGTGGCATGTGCCTGCAATCCCAGCTACTCAGGGGGCTGAGGCAGGAGAATCACTTGAACTTGGGAGGCAGAGGTTGTGGTGAGGCAAGATTGCACCATTGCACTCCAGCCTGGGCAACAAGAGTGAAACTTCGTCTCAAAAAAAAAAAACAACAAAAAATTATTCTCTGCAAATTTGTCTTGCTTCAGAGCAGGGGTTAGCAAAATTTTTCTGTCTAGAGTCATATAGTAAATATTTTAAACTCTGCAGGTCCTGTGGTCTCTGTCTCAGCTACTCAACTCTGCCATTGTAGCATGGAAGCAATTGCAGAAAATATGAAAACAAATGGACGTGACAGTGGGCCAGATTTGCCCTGTGACTGTAGTTAGGGAATAAATATAATTCTGAATTGTTAAATTTACGATTCCAAGTTTGGAAAATCTAATCCAATTGACAATGATATAAAATAACTTATGTGACAATTTGTGAGAAGTCTTTTGTAAAAGTTAAAAGACCCTATAGAAAGGAATTAATCACTGTTTATCAATTAAAAACTACATTTAGATAGTTTGCTTACAGAAGTACTTGTTTTTTTCTTTTTCCTTTTTTTTTTTTGAGATGGAGCTTCACTTGATGCCCAGGCTGGAGTGCAATGGCGCAATGTTGGCTCACCACAACCTGTGCCTCCTGGGTTCAAGCGACTCTCCTGCCTCCGCCTCCTGAGTAGCTGGGATTACAGGCATGCATCACCACAGGGTTTCTCCATGTTGGTCAGGCTGGTCTCGAACTCCCAACCTCAGGTGATCCAGCCGCCTCGGCCTCCCAAAGTGCTGGGATTACAGGCATGAGCCACCACGCCTGGCTGTATTTGTTGTTTTCTTTTGTCCACATTTAATTACTTTAGCCCCCAGCAAGCCAAGATTTCCAAAAGGTTCAGCCAGACCTTTTAGGCTATAAGCAGGAGCCACTGAACAAATACCTATTGGCCAACTACATAAACAAGGCATGCCACAAGGAAAAGCTCTCTGGTGGTGCAGGGATGATGGGCTAACCTGTGTATGGAGCATAGAAGATGATACCCGTGTGGGCGCAGACAAATTGCTCCAAGAGCTTCACGTTCTGTGGGGGAAAGTGGTAGAGAAACGTGAGGAAAAGAGGCAGGGAGAGCAGCAGGATCTTTGGACATCGAAAGTACACAATCCCTACACACCCACATGGACCACCTTCACCCCTCTACAGCTCTCCAGATGCCATCCTCCTTCATGTCCCAGTTTGGCTTCATCAATTCACTGAATCCATCCTTGCACATCCCATATTCTGTCACTGTGCTCCCATAGAAATCTCTTATGCAGAGGTTAAGTTCTTTTTTTTTTTTTTTTTTTTTTTTTTGAGACAGAGTCTCCCTGTGTTGCCCAGGCTGGAGTGCAGTGGCGCGATCTCAGCTCACCACAACCTCCGCCTCCCAGGTTCAAGCAATTCTCTGCCTTAGCCTCCCGAGTAGCTGGGGTTACAGGCGCCTGCCACCACACCTGGCTAATTATTTTGTATCTTTAGTAGAGATGCGGTTTCACCATCTTGGCCAAGCTGGCCTTGAACTCCTGACCTAGTGATACACCCACCTTGGCCTCAGAAAGTGCTGGGATTACAGGCATGAGCCACCGCGCCTGGGCTGCAGAGGTTAAGTTCTAACGTCAGCCTTTAGGTGAAAAACTGGGGCTGGTCATTGGAAATCCCAGAAATCACCCAAAAAATGATATTGTAATGTGTATGTATAAACAACTAATGTATTTAATAGTATGCTGAATATAATTTATATACTAAGAATAATTTTACAATTTACATAGAACTCTCTCTCAGCAAATTAACTAGGAAATGAGACTCTTGAAAAAAAAGCAGGTACATTGTAGAGTAGAATGCAAGCAGAATCACCCATGCTACTAAATTTGTAACATTTCTCTCTCTCAGTTATGTAATTAATTATAATCTCTGTTTTGTTTTGTTTTTGAGACGGAGTCTCGCTCTGCTGCTCAGGCTGGAGTGCAGTGGTGCAATCTTGGTTCACTGTAACCTCCATCTCCCAGGTTCCAGTGATTCTCCTGCCTCAGCCTCCTGAGAAGCTGGGACTACAGGCGCCCGCCATCACACCCAGCTAATTTTTTTTGTATTTTTAGTAGAGACGGCGTTTCACCTTGTTGGCCAGGCTGGTCTCAAACTCCTGACCTCAAGTGATCCACTCACCTTGGCCTCCCAAAGTGCTGGGATTACAAGCATGAGCCACCGCACCTGGCCATAATCTCTTTTTATAACCAATTATATGCAATTGAAACTGGGAAATTATCTATGGGACTCCTAAATAACCTGTGTTAGAAGGGTTCTTATTGCAGTCAAATACCCCCATTTTCTGACTGTTATCCAAATGCTCTACTACTTCCCTGATGATCAGCCATATAGCTTCTGCTCTAATACTTTTGCTGCAAGCTCAGAAGAACACTTTCCCATTATCTGTTTTATTGATATAATGTTTTCAAATTCTTTTTGTTTTGTTTTTCTTTGAGGAGTTTCACTCTTTCGCCCAGGCTGGAGTGCAGTGGTGCAATCTCAGCTCACTGCAACCTCCGCCTCCCGGGTTCAAGCAATTCTCCTGCCTCAGCCTCCCAAGTAGCTGGGATTATAGGCGCCTGCCACCATGCCTGGCTAATTTTTGTATTTTTAGTAGAGACAGGGTTTCACCACGTTGGCCAGGCTGGTCTCAAACTCCTGACCTCAGGTGAAGCACCTGCCTGGGCCTCCCAAAGTGCTAGCATTACAGGCATGGGCCGCCGCACCCAGCCAATATGTTTTCAAATTCTTTAAGGAGCAAATCCTGTCCTTCTCACATATTGAAGGCTTTTTGAAAAATAATGGACTCTATCTTGCTTCATATACCTGCCCTCCAGCCCCAGGTGCCAGCATGGCACTGAACATTGACAAGGAAATAAAGAAAACCTCAGGAAGAAAGTGGGCCAATATATTTGGTAATAACTGTAATGAATACAAACGAATCTTTGGATATTGGCTCTCCCACTAGAAATAGCCATTTCGCTGGCTGGGTGTGGTGGCTCACACCTGTAATCCCAGCATTTTGGGAGGCCGAGGCGGGTGGGTCACAAGGTCAGGAGTTTGAGACCAGCCTGGCCAATATGGTGAAACTCTGTCTCTACTAAAAATACAAAAAATAGCTGGGCTTGGTGGCACAAGCCTGTAGTTACAGCTACTTGGGAGGCTGAGGCGGGAGAATCGCTTGAACCCAGAAGGCGGAGGTTGCAGTGAGCTGAGATCACGCCACTGCACTCCAGCCTTGGCAACAGAGTAAGACTCCGTCTCAAAAAAAAAAAACAGCCATTTCTCTTACCTGCCAATTTAGACTGTAAATTTCATAGGCATAGGATAAAACTTTCAGTACAATCCATAGTAGAAGGTAAAAGGCTGGAGGGATGTTTTTATAATGCCAGAAACAGTTACTATAAAACGGACTGTAGGGCCTCCTGGATATACGAAGTGTGGGGCACCTACAGTAATCTCTTTGGCACTGCAAAGGGGCTCCTAATCTTTATTTTTCTTTTTAATTTTTTTTATTTTATTTTATTTTTTTTTTGAGACGGAGTCTCACTCTGTCGCCCAGGCTAGAGTGCGGTGATGCGATCTCAGCTCACCGCAAGCTCTGCCTCCCGGGTTCACGCCATTCTCCTGCCTCAGCCTCCTGAGTAGCTGGGACTACAGGCGCCCGCCACCACAACCGGCTAATTTTTTGTATTTTTAGTAGAGACGGGGTTTCACCGTGTTAGCCAGGATGGTCTTGATCTCCTGACCTCATGATCCACCTGCCTTGGCCTCCCAAAGTGCTGGGATTACAGGCGTGAGCCACCGCGCCCAGCCCCTAATCTTTATTTTTCTTACCCTAAAAAGAAAAGACTCTCCTTACCCTAAAGTCAACATGCAACTTGTGATCTCGACAGATGGGGCAGGGATTCCCAACAACTTTATTCCGACGCTGTAGAGAGAAAAAAAACAGCAGTTAAGGATGTTCAAACACGTCAGAAAAAGTGCTGCTGTTACTGTTACTTGTGGCCTCCCCGCACTCCACATCCCACTCTCAGAAACTCACAATACATGTCTTCCGAGTCCGCTGTGGGGGTACACCACCCTTGTGGTTGCGGCGGTAGTCAGCCCAGACGGGGCGAGAACCATATCGCTCCTGGTATTCTGAAATGAAAGATCATACAAGTTATTCCTGGGTGGGAGTGTAGTGGGTGGCTCTGTCCACTTATCTCAAATCCTATCTGACCCTCCCTTTCCCCCTTTAGAGGTACCTTCTGATTCCAGATATTTCCAGGGCTCATCCTTATAAGGAGAAATGGGAACTGAGGACAAAGAATCTTCCTCAGAGGGAGCTTTGGTGCAAAGAGTCTGGAGGGGAACCTACAAAGGAGAAGAAAAAAATAAAAGAATGAGTTTAAGGAAAGGACTAAATTGTTTTGCTTATCACACTTTGGAAAGGAGGAATGCACACATACTGCATTAATGGAATATAACAGGAATGCATATGTAAGTTAAGTATTTTTGTTGGGTTTAAATTGACATAAATCAACAACCACTCTCCTTTTCTACAATTGGATCCTGAAAGAAAAGCTAAGTTAGGGGATATATGCCTAAAAAACAATCTTATTTCAGAAGACAAATAAAAAGTCTAGTACAAGGCCGGGCGCAGTGGCTCACGTCTGTAATCCCAGCACTTTGGGAGGCCCAGGCAGGCGGATCATGAGGTCAAGACATCGAGACCATCCTGGCCAACATGGTGAAACCTTATCTCTACTAAAAATACAAAAATTAGTTCGGCGTGGTGGCATGCGCCTGTAGTCCCAGCTACTCGGGAGGCTGAGGCAAGAGAATCACTTGAACCCGGGAGGCGGAGGTTGCAGTGAGCCAAGATTGCGCCACTACACTCCAACCTGGCAACAGAGTGAGATTTCGTGTAAAGAAAAAAGAAAAAAAAATCTAGTACATAAAAGGTATTCTTGCTTTTTGGAAATAAATTGACTCTGGTGGAAGAATAAAGTAAGAGGAAGGATATCTAGGTTCTTGGAACTAAGATGTGTGGTGGGGAGGGGATGCAGAAGACAGGTGAGTCTCCAAATCAATCCAATGAAGTCACTGAGTTGCCCATTTTCATAAAAGCTGAAGGTCAACATTCTACAGGGCAGAACAAACTTGAGTCCTAACGCTAGTTTTAAAGCTACCAAGGCTGTTATTATTTCTGTGTTGACCTCTGTCACCACTCTTCAGTCCCACTTTAGGGAGTGGCAGCTGGGCAAGCCTTCCTATCTCACCGTGCCCCACCAAGAACCTCCAGAGAGGTGAGTACACAAGACTGGAGGGAAACCTCAATTCAAAGGACGGAGTTAAGCTCTCATAACTCCGATAAGAAACTGATTTAATAAAGAGAGCTGAGAAACTGTCCTCAGGTCGTAAGAATATATCCTGACCTTATTGAGAAATAGCAAGGTTGGTAGAAATTGGGATCCCTAATTTCCCCAAGGACATTCCAGAGCAACACAGATTTAGTCACCACTTGCATAGTTAACAGCTGGTTGTGGCGCTCGCTTGGGGAGTACATATGTTATGCTAAAATTGCAACGATACAGAGATTAGCATGGCCCCTTAATTAGTTAAATAATTTTTAAAAAGCTGGTTATGCATGACTGAGGGTGGACAGGGGTCAATTCCATCACTTAAGTTATTTTACTGAAATGGCATTTTGGAAAAAGGATGATACCTAACCCTGGCGTTTAGTCCTCGGCTCGGGATTAGAAAATGCGCGGGGTGTGGGGGGGGGGTTGCAGGAAGTACTGCCTAGACAGCTAAGACACACGTGGGAAGGTCTCCACTCGTGGATTCCTGACAGTGGAGCGACAACCTCGAGAAGGTATAACCAACTTGAGGTTGTGCAAAATGTCTTTCGAAGAGTTACCTGAACTCTGTGAGAACCTCGGAAGAGAGATAGCATAGGAAGCCGCCTCAGCACGGTGTTTAATACAGACGCCGCCATCTTGACGTACGCCCAGGACAGGAATTGACGGAAAGGCAACTGCGCATGCTTCAGGAAACTGAGTAGGGCAGGGCCAAGGACAAGCCCGCAGTGCGGAAGGCGGCCCCACGTTTGCGTCAGGACGGAAGCGTGAAAGGGAAGGCATGGGGGAGAAGCTAATTTCAACTGCGTCACAATCGAATTAGACCCCAAAATTGCGGTTTTTTTTGGCCAGTCACTACGACTCTTAGATCGCATTGTTAAAGTTTGCCTTTTAAGCAATTTTGAAGGCGATTTTTAGCGGTATCCTCTCAGTGCGCATGCGCTCTTAGGTTTCTACCAATCCTGGGTGAGAAATGTTCTCCAGGGCGGAAGTGGCGGAAGCAGAGGAAAGGGAGGTGCTAGGCTCCTGGTCACGCGCACGCGACAGGGAGGCAGGAAGGAGGCGGAAGAGAGTGCCAGGGAAAGGGGCGGAGCAAAGGTGAAGTGAGAGTAGCCAATCAGTTGGCGAGTTGTCATTTGGGTTGACCAATGAGTTCACGCCTCGCGTATAATGTCTCGCGACAAGGGCGTTTCACTAGCACGTTTGGGCGCGTTGGGCGGCGTCCGGGTATAAAAGACTCCACCCGAGCGGGCGGCCGCCATTCTGGGGTTCGTTTAGAGGTAAGTTTGCCTACTTTGTCGTCTAGTGGGTAAAATTTTGCGGAGAGCGTTGGATCTGGGAAGCGGGATAGGGATGGATGGGTTCATTTGAGAGCCACGGCTTAAAGCGGTTGCGATCAGGATGGGACACAGGTTTGTTTGGGGACAACAAAGATGGCATTTGTGAGTGTTTTGAAGCAACCCGTACTGATTACATCTTTCTCCCTTGTGTTCCTTTTATCCCAGGTTTGAATTTTCTCGGAGAAAGACAGGCCGGCCACGAGGAAAACAGAAACAAGCCGCAGCAACATCTAAGCCCTTGAAAGGATCCTGAGAGAGGGGGGAAAGGGAAAACAGCAGCCACCAGCCCAACCACTTGTGTCTTCTGCCCCTTCCCACCTATCTTGCCCACCCCACCAGCCCACGCTGCTTGGGACTTGAAATCTGTGGCCGAAGGACCGTCACTACATAACTTCAAAAATAATCAACCACCCTCCCTTCCCAAACCACCCAAATTCACTCATCCAGCGTTTACTTTTTTGAATCCACTCAGAACTTTTTTCTGCGACCCCCCTCCCTAAATGGAGTTGGGTGGGGGGGAAATGAATACTGAGTTGGCCTTTATTTTTTAAAAGACTTTTTGATCCAATGAGGCCCCCTAAATAATTGAGTTTTGGGTCCTGGTTGGTTGTTTTATTTTTTTTCCTCCAAAATTTTACCCCCTCCCCCCTGAGCCCGAGGTGCTGACGTCGCAAAAAAATTGGATAGTAAGTGTCGAATTTTCAAAAACCAGCCTTGCAACAAGAAATCAACGTTTCCCGTTGTGAAACCAAAAATAATGAGAGGAAGAAATGAGACCATAGAACAAATAGAGAACTGGAGAAGGACCAATCTGGTCACTTAATCTCCATTAAAAAGGGCCTGTGGGTCTAAACAGTCTTGTTCTCTCTCCCCTACCACCTATCTCTTCCCTGCCTTGCTGCAGGCAAAGAGAGGGTGGAGGGAGGGCCAGCAAGTGAGGATTTTGATGGTTAACCCTTGGTAATCCAGCCAATTTCCAGACTGCCAAAGCCATATGTGTTTATATAAGGAGGAATGGTTACCTTCCTCTGGTTAGCAGCAGTCTTCAAAAGGGTTAATGAGCTCACATACAAGAGATGGTGGATCTTGTGGCCCAGAAGTACCACTTCTTTGTGTGTGAGACAAGCAGGGTGCCTTTCAATTTGCCAGATTAATAAGCAATCTGTACATAAAGATTGCAGGGTAAGGAGATGGGCAGAGAGAAGTAATAGCTCGCTATAACTTTTTAAATGACTGTTAAATCCTCTCAATTTTAATGTAATTTGCTTGGGGTATATTTGTGTGGTTAAAATAGGTGGCAATCTAGGAATAAAGATTGCAAGACACTTAGGACAAAATATAATCTTAGTGCCAGTACATACAAGATAATAGTTGGGGAGGTAAAGAATGTCTTATAATTGTTGCAGATTGCATAGGTATTTAAAAGCAAAAGAGTGATTAACATTTTAACTTGATATTTTTTGGTGGGGGAGGTACAGTTAAATAGAGGGTGGAAAGGTTGGGAAATGTGGAATTTAGGAGTATAATTTTAAAAGCCATTTAGTGCAATTGAATGCTAGCTTTCTAAAAGATTTGTGTCGTTAAAAGGAATTTTTTTCTTCCCTGCTTCAATATGGCGACTTTCCTTGTCCTTTTGTCTTCCAAGCGGCGTTGCAGGTTGTGTCTTGACCCATTTTTTTTCCTGTCCTCCCACCTCAACCCTATTTGTTGAGAGGGGTCCAAGTCCTTCCTCCCCCTTTCCCTCTATAGGGAGGATGGGGGTGGTCGATGGTAGCCGGTTGAACCTCCGTTGCAAATTCAGTTCTTCCCTGCAGAAAATTGTTCTTTTTAATATTTTAATTGCTTTAATTTTCACTACGCTCTTACTGATCAAAATAGGTCAAAGATTATTCACGATGGGGAACTGGTTTTTGATTTTTTTTTTTTTTTTTTTTTACTAAAAAGGTGTTTTATAATGTAACTGAAGCTACCGGCAGAGCCGGGTGGCTTTTTAGTTTAAGTCCTCTTTCTCCATTACAAAATGGCGTCCCTCCGTCTTTGTTGTTTTTCTCCCCCTTTTGCCATCCTGAGCTTAGGGCCGCCCTAGAAACTTGGTCAAGTGGGAGGAGCAGCCTTGAAAGGTGATGTAATCAGCTTTCTTCCTCCTCTCTCCACCCTCTTGAAGCTCCACCCCTGAGCAGATGCTTTTGCACTGCCTGTGCTCGTTGCTGCTAGGGAGAAGACATTTTCCTTATTTTCATTATATAAAATATCTTAAAGGGATAGGAGCTTATAGGAATTAAGTATCAAGGCTGTCCATCTCTGTGTAGTTCTAGTTTTTATAGAACCAGTTTTTATTTTCACTTTCCTTCACTCATCACAACTGCTTGTAATTTTTCCCCACTTCAGCTGCCAGGGGTGAAAAAACAGGCAAACCTAAGACTGGGAAGCTTTGAGGATGTGTGTGAGCGTGTGTGTATGTATATATGTGTGTAGAGGGAGATGGGAAAGACACAAGGGCTTGCAAGAGTAACTTGGAGATAAACGGGCCTAATGACACTGAAGTGTGCCATTTCTGCTTAGGAACCAGTGGGCCTCCTGCATTTGGTCGCTTTGTGTAATGAGAATCGGGGGAAGGTGGGTACTTTTAGGACTTTCTTCTAAATCGCCCTCATTCCCACCTCTCAGTTTGGGGATAAACTGTATTCAGTGCTGTATCACGTTCTGCACTTGATTAGTTCCTGTACATTGGTACTAGGATAAGAAGTGAATCTTTAGGAAAGGAGGCGGCAGTTGTAAACTCAAGGCAGGGGGAATCAAGCTACGGTTTCTGGTAAGCAAAACCTTTCTGGTATTACATTTCACAACTTTCATTTTTTTTTTTTCCCCAAAGAGCCACCTTTTTTGAATTTCTTTTTCCTTCCCTTCTAAAAGAAATTCCTAAAAGCATTAATGAAAAAATGATGTCCTCTTCATTTTTCAACTCATGCAGTGCTGTGGCATTTGGTGCATGTTCAGAAGCCATGCCCTATCTGAGGGTGGTATTGGGTGTCTGGTTCCTTTCTTCCCCCAAATTTTTCAAAGTCAAATCTTTATCAGACTCTCCATATAATTTTAATTTTTAAAAGTCCTGCACTGAAGCGTGGAGGTTCTAGGCAGAATTGGAAAGTATAACTGCCCTCTGGTGACCTGGGTGAGACTTAGGGCTAACTTCCTACTGGGTACAGATTCTCAAATTATTACTTAAGCTTCTGGATTGGATGGGAGGGACTCTTCACATGTCTGTTGACTACAAGCTTTTTTTGTTTTGTTTTGTTTTTTTCTTTTAAGCAGTTTGCCATGTGCCTCTGCAGCATATCTTCCTTGGGAGCTGAACATTCTACCCACTGGGGTTCCTGATCTCTAGTGAGCCAGGGGATTAATAAAGAAGATCTTCCTTAACATGGGAGATGGGAAGCCAGGTCTACTAGGGGAACCACATCCATTCAGAAAATCTTGGAAAACCTGATCCTTGTAGTTTGTGGCCAGAGTTCTAGTCTGGGGTCTTTTTCTATGAGTCAGGGTGGTATATCATTTTGCATCTTTATTGGAAGGCAGATAAGCTTTTGAGGAGCTCATGTATCAGGTTTGCAAAATGACTGAGGGGTAGGGGCTTACTACTTGGAAGAAAGCTATGACCTTGTGATGAATCACCTGAGAGACATAATTCAGTCCACTATTGTGTCAAACTAGGAAGTGCCTAAAACACTGAAGAAAGGAAGGGGAACATAAGGGGTTAGGTACAAATCATTTTCATTTCCAGAAGTGCCTCTAAATTAAGGTAAATTTGGGACTTTTTTCTCCTTTTGTTAGAAGACAGTTATTTTTTAAAGAGCTCTGACTTGCACAGAATTTTTATCCTGAACCAATTCAGTCCTGTTTCATTGGTGATGGGTGTGGAATAACTTTAGCTATGCTGGATATTTTTTCACCCTATTTAATTGAATAACCCTCAAGTAAAATTCATTTTGAAGGCAGGAGTTGGTGTCACAGACGTTTATCTCTGGTAAAAATGGTAGAAAATTCCCCAATGCCTTGTGCCAGTAGAGTATGGCTCTGCCTGAAACATTCTCCATAAGGAACGCATAGCTTAGGATGAGGTGGAGGTAGGCCAGGGGGTTGCTACCTCACTCCCCACCTTCTGTATGTTCTGCAGTCAAGAAAATAGCAGCTCATTAAAAGAAGACATAATCATGCCGTGGATTACTTGTGGTTCCAGAAAGCTTTCTTAAGCTTTCATTCTAGACTCCAGATCTTGAGTAGGTAATGTTACAACACTTAGTCACGGCCCCTGCCTGCCTTCATCAACTCAGTTTGCCTTCTCTGCTGTAGCCCTGTGCCCGAAATGTTGGACTTTACATTCCTTTCCACTTGAGCGCCTTGGAAATTGTTTGGTTTTTTTCCAAAATATACTGACTTCAAAGCAAGGAAACTAGGTTATAAGACACTTGGGGTCCTTAATTTTAAATAAGAACTAATCTTCCTGAAGGAAGGCCATCATGAGAAAACCCACTTACATTTTATCAAGATTGGTGCTCATGAGACAAAATTTCACTTATATTTCCAAAATATAAGTAGTGGAAAATGAATATTTAACGCTAATTTTGCTTTGTCTCTTAGCTTCCCTTTGACTATTAATGTCTTTTATTCTTGTTTATACATGTGGGAATAAAAAAGTCCCTGGATCCCATTTCCAGCAGAGGGCACTGGACAGAATTTAGCTTTGTACTCATTGGTCCATTTTTCTAAGACTGGCTCTTCTTTCTTGTCTCCCATCCTCTTAAGGAACACTTGAGCTCAGATGACAGTTTATTTAGTGTCTGAAGGAAATAGGGGTAGTAGGTCTATTTATTGGCTTAGCTTGTAGTTGGATATGCAAAAAGGAATTCTCCAGGGTTATATATATTCAACTCTGGGTTTGAATCAGTCAAGGGTAACTGGTTTGAAATGATGTTTAATTCAAGGCCTTTTGTCAAATTGCATATATTTTGCTTTAGGAATCTAATGGTAGGTATGTGTGTATATATAGAGAGAGGGAGTTTTAAAAATTTCTTAGTCTCTTGATTGCTTATGATATGTTGTTATTGGAACCCATACATTGCTTTTCCAGTCTCCAACAGATGTGATATCTGTTTTATGTGTCCCTTTATCGTATCTCTTTATAGTTTCTATAGATCACTTTATAGTATCTCACTACATGGGAAGAATACGTTTATTTCTGTGTCTGTCTCTGTGTGTGTAGGAATCACCACACTTGAGTGGATTTGGCCCACGGACATCTAATCTTTTCCAGTATTCTCCTTGAATGTTTTTTCTCTGACCTCAGGTTCCACTTGTATTTGTGGAGGTTCCAGGGCAGCAGCGACTTCTCAACATTTCTTGCCTCATCTCTCCCTCTGTTCAGCCCACAGGTTATGATCTCCAGAGCCAAGATTATACTCCTACCCTTCCTGGCTGCCTCCTCCCTGCTTCTGCTGCTGCTCGCCTAGGTTGTTAGGACCTACACATTTGGAAACTTACTGACGTTTTTGTTGGGAGGACAAAAAGGCTGAGATTGTTATGCTATGTTTTTTCTTTTGTTTGAGAACAAGTAGAACTAATTTGCATTGTCTTACAAGAAACCTGTGTTTTTTCCGGCACAAAACTACTCATCTTTGTAAAATACTGATTTTTCTACCCTTCTGCTGGGATTGTGTCTGTTACTTCTGTGCTAGATGTAGGATGAGGAAGGTTTTGTTCTTGCCTCTTCCTTGCTACTCAGTGTGGGCCTTATTGCCCAAAGGCAGATATTGCTGAAGTGGCTTTCTTTTTTGGTGGTTTTTTGTTTGTTTGTTTTTGAGGCAGCGTCTTACTCTGTCTCTCAGGCTGGAGTGCAGTGGCACAATCACAGCTCATTGTAGCCTCAGTATCCCTGGGCTCAAGCAGTCCTCCCGTTTTCCCACGTCAGCCTCCCGGGTAGCTGGGACTACAGGTGCACACCATCACACTCGACTTATGTTTTGTAGAGATGAGGTTTCGCCATGTTGCCAAGGCTGGTTTCAAACTCCTGCGCTCAAGGAATCTGCCCACCTTGGCCTCCCAAAGTGCTGGGATTACAGGCATGAGCCACTGCACCCAGCCTCTTTTTTGGGTCTTAGAAGCAAGTATTTAGAGGCAGTGTAGATAAAAATCCCAATCAGAACCATATTGATCCTAAATTACCTTTCTGGAACTTCAGTTCTGGCTTGTCCCTTCCATAAAAGGAGCTTAGCTTTTAACTAATTCCCTTCCCAACCTGGTCTAAAACAGCTGCTTAAAAGGGAATTTTTCTAGCATTTGGCTTTATCTGTTCCCTTTTTAGGTTCCATGGTTTTCAGTTTTAGGCTTTCCTAGGGGATCTTGTACAGCGTGATTTTTGAGGAGAGGACCAGATTCGCATCTTTGCTTTTGAAAGCACAAACCACTAGCTTCCTTTTAACTTAGAGACAGTAAAAACTTGTGTAGTGTTTGGCTAATGAGTGACAGTCTATTCAAGGTCTAGGAGGACCTGCTTGATTTCCATGCATCCATTTGTCTCAATCTCTGGCACCTACTCCCAGATCTCCTTAGGGAGGGATTCTGTTTTCAAGTTTTGTTTTGTTCTCCATCATCTACCACTTCAGCTGATACATATCTTGCCATGTGTAGTGATTATGACTCTTAATGGGCTAAGATAAAAAGGACTCAAGTCTTATAAGACATTTAGCTCAAACACCCAAGATTGGCCCAATTTCTATCAAGCTATAGGCTGTTTTTCAAGCCAAATTTATCAGCAACTAGGGAAGACAGGACTTAACGATAGGTGTAAATGCCCTGGAGAGTTGAACATCTTGTTATGGGAACTGATCTTAGCTTTAATACGATCTAGTGAAGTTCAGCCATCCTAGGAAGGATGCTGCTGGGAGGGAGGGACAGGTGTGCTGCCCTACTCCTCCAATCGAATTGCTTTCCTGTTCAGTCACATATGCTCCCCATGCTTAACTTGCCAGGGCTATTTTCTCAGTAGTGGCAAGTGGTCTGTGTCGATTTTTCATATCTAAAAAATAGCATAGTTGAATAATTAGTCATTATACTTTGTCAAATATAGAGATGTGGTTTATTAGAGGGCCTACTCGGGTAGTCCTTGCCACCCATTTATTCTGTGGGTTTGTTTGTTTTGTCCTCTTACCATAGAAACCACCATCATGGGTTCGGGTCCCATAGACCCCAAAGAACTTCTCAAGGGCCTGGACAGCTTCCTTAACCGAGATGGGGAAGTCAAAAGTGTGGATGGGATTTCCAAGATCTTCAGGTGAGTCTTTACCCCTTTTTGTATTCACTGTGAGTAGAGAATATTGTGTGTTAAAACATGGCTGCAGTTGAGGCACACTGGAATGATCCTGGAAAGGAAAGGGAAAGATAGTCAGTGCAATAGGATTAAAATGTAACAATTTTAGGATAAGGGATAGGAAAAGATGATCACTTGTTTCTGACCATAATGGAAACTGGAGATTTGGACGTCCACGGTCCCAAGGGAGTCATGCTTTGGAATGAGAGCAGGGTAGCCTGGTAACAGAATTCTAGATTGTTTTGGTTCGTGTTCCACCTACCCATAATGTTATTTTCCTTCAGGGATTCTCAGGTTTTTCAGGGGAGAGTAAATAACTAAGCCAGTCTTGAACAGACTATTAGGGACAGTTGTTGAGGGATAGCCTTATCACCTGGAGGCAGAATGGAATTCATCCTGTGTGTTACGGAGGCAGCGATGCTCTCCTCCCCAGGTCAGAGACTGCGGTGTCTCTGTTCTCCCATAAGTTTCCATGTCACACTGGATCCATCCCATCTTCCTAGAGGTATATGTGACTCCCCTTCTCTGGAGCAAAGTCCCAAGTCATTAGGAATCTCTAGGCAGTTCACAGAGAGGCGCTTTTGCTAAGAGAAGAGATACTGGCTGCTTCATTTCTAACCCTAACTCATCTTCTGCAGTTTGATGAAGGAAGCACGAAAGATGGTGAGTCGATGCACTTACTTGAACATTCTCCTGCAGACCCGTTCACCAGAAATATTGGTCAAGTAAGTGGGGATCTGGATGGTTGGAATGGGAAGGTGTAGCGAAAAGATGGGGCGGTGAGGCATGGGGTTCCTCGGTCATTGATGGGAGACTGGGATTGTAGGATGTGGTACTGTCAAAACCTAGAAAGGGCATTACTGATAGACTCTCCTGCCTGCCTGCAGATTTATTGACGTTGGCGGCTACAAACTTCTTAACAATTGGCTGACGTATTCAAAGACAACCAACAACATTCCCCTCCTCCAGCAAATTCTACTGACCCTGCAGCATCTACCGCTCACTGTAGACCATCTCAAGCAGGTACCTTTAGTCTTTAAACCCTGATTCTTCCTTTTTTGGTTTAGTCTAATGGATGAAAAACTCAAACTGACTGATGTGGCTGTAATCTTGGGCCTGTGAGGTAGAACAGCAGAAAAAAAATAGGAATTTAGAAGAAGAAGACTTGGTTTGAATTTATCTCCTTTAATAGGTGTGTGGCGGCTGGGCACGGTGGCTCACGCCTGTGATCCCAGCACTTTGAGAGGCTGAGGCGGGCGGATCATGAGGTCAGGAGACTGAGACCATCCTGGCTGACGTGGTGAAACCCCGTCTCCACTAAAAATACAAAAAATTAGCCAGGCATGGTGGCATGCGCCTGTAGTCCCAGCTAATCAGGAGGCTGAGGCTGGAGAATCGCTTGAACCCAGGAGGTGGAGGTTATTGTGAGCCGAGATCGCACCACTGCACTCCAGCCTGGGCGACAGAGTGAGACTTCGTCTCAAAAAAAAAAAAAAAAAAGGAATGTGTCAGCCAGGTGTGGTGGCTCACACCTGTAATCCCAACACTTTGGGATGCTGAGGTGGGTGGATTGCTTGAGCCCAGTAGTTCAAGACCAGCGTGGGCAAAAATGATAAAACTCTGTCTCTACAAAAAATACAAAAAATTTACCCAGATGTGGTGGTGCATGCCTGTAGTCTCAGTTATTTAGGAGGCTCAGGTGGGAGAATCATTTGAGCCTGGGAGGTCGAGGCTGCAGTGAGCCAAGACTGCGCCACTGCACTCTAGCCTGGGCAACAGAGTGAGACTCCGTCTCAAAAAATAAAAAAAAAAAAAAAAGCAGGGAGGACTGTAACTTTTGTCGTTTTTAGCTCTAAGTGGAATTATTTGCCTCCTGGCATTTACCTTTCTGCTGCTCCCATCTCTCATAGAACAACACAGCTAAACTGGTGAAGCAGCTGAGCAAGTCAAGTGAGGATGAAGGTAGGGTGCCACTCCTGCTCTCTCATGGGCTTTTCTCTATTACTTCCACTTAATTACCTTAATATCTTTTCCCATCCTTGGATTGTCCCTTCACTTTTCTCTTTCTACCTCACCTTGCTTTTTTTCCTTCTTTTAAAGAGAAAGTTCCTCTAACCTGTACCCTCTTTCCTGTTCTCAATTCCAAAGTTGTTCATTTCTCTGTTGCTGAATATAAGGTGCCATACTTTAACTGGAAGCTGATTCCTAAAATTGCTTGTTATAAAACACATACACTTAAAATTTGCTGTGGGAAATAGTATCATCCTAGCGTGTCTCATCTGTGAAACTCCTATTACTAAATGATAAATTATGAAATGAGTTTATAAGTGGAAATGTTGGCCAGAAGAGAGGTGCCATAGATCAGAGATGTTATTTGCCAAGTACAAAAGGAAAGAGTTACAAAGTATTTTTTCATATATTTAGAAACAAATTTTATTCTTGTTTTCACATCTATAAAGGAAAATAAAAAGTCTTCAGATTGTTGTAACAATTAGGTGTGTTATACATAAAGCAACTAACGTAGCTTTTTAAAAAAATGTCAGTTTTTGAGGAACTGGTGGATTTTGGTTACATGTATAAGTTCTTTAATGGTGATTTCTGAGATTTTGGTACACTCATCACCCAAGCAGTGTACACTGCACCCAACGTGTAGTCTTTTACTAATGTAGATTTTAACCACATATTCTGAAATATTAGGTCTTTTTACTCCAGAGTGGTGTGATGACATCAGAGTTGAAAGTTATCCAAGTAGAACACAACTCTAATTCATTGTTCCATTTTTTAAGGGTTTGGTTTTTAAGCATATCTCATGTTCTTCTTAAAACTTTGGGTTACTTTCTCCGTTACATAAATTTTCACAATATTTTCTCAAACCTCCCATTTTCTGTTCCTGGAAGAATGTTACTTTACATTATTTAGGCATTTCCCCTTTCTGTCACCTGCAGAGCTCCGGAAATTGGCCTCAGTCCTTGTCAGCGACTGGATGGCTGTCATCCGCTCTCAGAGCAGTACCCAGCCTGCTGGTAAGCTCCTTAGTCCTTTATCCTTTGTATTTATTTCTTTCCTATTGGGATGTGGCCTTTAGGTGCTCCCAGTCTGCTTCACCTCTGACAGTGTTCATCTAAATAAAATCCTTTTCTGCTTTGTTTTTTCACAACAGAGAAAGATAAGAAGAAACGTAAAGATGAAGGAAAAAGTCGAACTACCCTTCCTGAGCGACCTTTGACAGAGGTGAAGGCTGAGACCCGGGCTGAGGAGGCCCCAGAGAAGAAGAGGGAGAAGCCCAAGTCTCTTCGCACCACAGCACCCAGTCATGCCAAGTTCCGTTCCACTGGTAAGACTGGCGGCTGGCCTCTGGAGGGTTCATGGGCATGTGCACACCCAAAGCCTTATGGGGGAATCATTTGATGTGTGGTATGTTAATCGTAAGGAAGAGGGAAGACTAGCAGAGGAAGCTTTGGTTACAAGGCTAGAAGAACATTTGCGGGTGAGAACGGGAGGAAAATTCGGGGGTCTGGGGTTTGAGTTCAGCTGCCCACACCGTGCTTCTTTCCCCAGGACTAGAGCTGGAGACACCATCCTTGGTGCCTGTGAAGAAGAATGCCAGCACAGTGGTGGTTTCTGACAAGTACAACCTTAAACCCATCCCCCTCAAACGTCAGAGGTATGGACCATATTCTCAGGCTCTGAATGGGGTGGATCTGTGGACACAAGGGAGCAGGAGGGGGTGAGTCGGAGATGTTGATGACAGTTCCTCTTCTGACAGCAACGTAGCTGCTCCAGGAGATGCCACTCCCCCTGCAGAGAAGAAATACAAGCCACTCAACACAACACCTAATGCCACCAAAGAGATCAAAGTGAAGATCATCCCGCCACAGCGTGAGTCTAAAGTGGGGAAGATGTACTTTGAATTAGGAGCAAACTTTTTTTTTTTTTTTTTTGGAGACAGAGTCTCACTCTGTCACCCAGGCTGGAGTGCAGTGGCACGGTCTTGGCTCACTGCAAGCTCCGCCTCCCGGGTTCACGCCATTCTCCTGCCTCAGCCTCCCGAGTAGCTGGGACTACTGGTGCCCGCCACCACGCCCGGCTAATTTTTTGTATTTTTAGTAGAGATGGGGTTTCACCATGTTAGCCAGGATGGTCTTGATTTCCTGACCTCGTGATCCACCCACCTCAGCTTCCCAAAGTGCTGGGATTACAGGCATGAGCCACCGCACCTGGCCAGGAGCAAACTCTTATGGGAATGAATGTCCCTGGGAACGAGAAGTTTTTTCCCTTCTCTTTTATTATTTCCCTCCATTTTCCTTTGATTTCTTGGTATCCCTTACTTTTTGTACCTCTGGAACTCCCGTTTCAGGGGTCACTTAGGAGTAATTTTAGAGATAAGATAGGGACGTGTGCCATTCTGTGACTGGTCAGGGGCACCTGGTAAGGTGATCTGTCATGTTCACAAGGGCTCACTTCGTCAGCTACCTGAGCTATAATTCACATCCAAAGCTATGGCTTGCCTGCCATGAGAAACCTAGAATAACAACAAGAATATCCTGTGTGAATCCTCCTGCATGTGCTTCCTGGTCCTCTTGAGCTTATCGTGTCCTAAGTTGAGGCAGGGTCTTCACTGGCTCATTTTATGCCTGGACTGTGTTTGCAGGTGTAGGATTATGAAGGAGGTCTGATGATGCCATTTGGTGCTCTTTCTTTTTGTAGCTATGGAGGGCCTGGGCTTTCTGGATGCTCTTAATTCAGCCCCTGTTCCAGGCATCAAAATTAAGAAGAAAAAAAAAGTACTGTCACCTACGGCTGCCAAGGTATGGGCTCCCAGAAGTAGGTTTCAGTGACAGAGTATAAAAGGTAAAGTAGAAGAAAGGGCACAGCAGCTAGGAGTTGTCGGGGAGGACAACAAGAGGCGTTTTGCCTTGGATATAGACTGGTGCAGGTGAGACATTGTGGAGACAGAGTCTTCCTTTATATAGGAACTGTTGGGGGACTGTGCCTGGGACCCTGGACTAATTGCCTTGCCCTTGGCTTTCCAGTCAGTTCATTAACTTCCTTTTCTTTCACAATAGCCAAGCCCCTTTGAAGGGAAAACGAGCACAGAACCAAGCACAGCCAAACCTTCTTCCCCAGAACCAGCACCACCTTCTGAGGCAATGGACGCAGACCGTCCAGGCACCCCGGTTCCCCCTGTTGAAGTCCCGGAGCTCATGGATACAGGTAATCTAGAAACTGGTTCAGTTTGGGGGGTTTTCTGAAAGGAGGGATCTGGGTCTGAAACCTCTTCTGCTTCCAGCCTCTTTGGAGCCAGGAGCTCTGGATGCCAAGCCAGTGGAGAGTCCTGGAGATCCTAACCAACTGACCCGGAAAGGCAGGAAGAGGAAAAGTGTGACATGGCCTGAGGAAGGCAAACTGAGAGAATATTTCTATTTTGAATTGGATGAAACTGAACGAGGTAAGAGGTCATTTCCTACGTAATAGGTGTGTTTAAGGGATTTTGAAAGGACTTGGTTGTGCTTACTTTCCCTCTTGCTTTTCTTCCCCTGCCGACAGTAAATGTGAATAAGATCAAGGACTTTGGTGAGGCGGCTAAGCGAGAGATACTGTCAGACCGACATGCATTTGAGACAGCGCGGCGTCTGAGCCATGATAACATGGAGGAGAAGGTGCCCTGGGTGTGCCCCCGGCCCCTGGTTCTGCCCTCACCTCTTGTCACCCCTGGAAGCAATAGTCAGGAGCGATATATCCAGGCTGAGCGGGAGAAGGGAATCCTTCAGGAGCTCTTCCTGAACAAGGAGAGGTGAGCAGAGTGGGGTTCGTGCCCTGGGATGTTGAGTGCTTGGACACTCCTGAGGGAACATGAGCTGGGGTAATTACGGGGTGGAGGTTAGAAATTACTTTCAGGGTCTGAATTAATAACTTGACTATCATTCTTTTTTCTCTCACCTGTGTTGTTCCTGATAGTCCTCATGAGCCTGATCCTGAGCCCTACGAGCCCATACCCCCTAAACTCATCCCCCTAGATGAGGTAAGTCAATGTTCTGTGATGATGGAAGTTGTGATGGTCATTGAATTCGGTGCATCTTTCATATGAGAATGTCTCTGTTCTGTCAATCCTGATTTTTTTTGTTCTTCTTTCAGGAGTGTTCCATGGATGAGACTCCGTATGTTGAGACTCTGGAACCTGGGGGGTCAGGTGGCTCACCTGATGGGGCAGGAGGCTCCAAGTTGCCTCCAGTTCTGGCCAATCTTATGGGAAGCATGGGTGCTGGAAAGGGCCCCCAAGGCCCTGGAGGAGGAGGCATTAATGTCCAAGAGATCCTCACCTCCATCATGGTACGCACCCTCCTTCCCCTTTTCCACCTTCTGTGGAGCCTCCTTAAGCTCGCTCTCCTCACTGTCTCCCATTCGCCTTACCCCAGTTCTCCACATCTACCCACTTACCCCTAATCTTTGGCGCTATCTTTCGCCATGGTTGTTACCCTTTCTGTCTGTTGACTTTGCCTTCTTACATCCTCACAGGGTAGCCCAAACAGTCATCCTTCAGAGGAACTACTGAAACAACCAGACTATTCGGACAAGATCAAGCAGATGCTGGGTAATCTTCAGGGCCAGCCCCAGGGGACTGGGGGAGGAAGCCTGCAGTGGAGTTGGGGGAAGCAGGGTTTCAAAGATGCAGAAGAATACAGGGCTGTGGCCACTAGGCAAGAAATGGGAGGGGAAGACTGGACAGAGAGAGCATTGCTCTGCCAGGTTGGTTTGAGAGGGTCAGTTGGTTGCACCTAAATGGGAGATCATGCTAGTCTTCTAGAGTGCTCATGCTGTGTTACTCTTGTTTTCATTAACAGTGCCACATGGACTCCTAGGCCCTGGCCCAATAGCCAATGGTTTCCCACCAGGGGGTCCTGGGGGCCCCAAGGGCATGCAGCACTTTCCCCCTGGACCTGGGGGACCTATGCCAGGTAGGTGGTGAGTAAAAGGTTGGAATGGGCTTATCTGCTTAATTTCAGTCTGATAATAGTATAGGATTGACTGGAAGGTGGGAGGTGGTGGTTTAGGTTGGGAGATGGCAGTTCCTGGTAGCTGATACTGTCTCTCTTTTTTGTCCCCTTACAGGTCCCCATGGAGGCCCTGGTGGGCCAGTGGGTCCACGTCTTCTGGGTCCTCCACCCCCTCCCCGGGGAGGTGATCCCTTCTGGGATGGCCCGGGCGACCCTATGCGGGGTGGCCCAATGCGGGGGGGTCCAGGACCAGGTCCTGGACCATACCATAGAGGCCGAGGTGGCCGAGGAGGAAACGAACCTCCTCCTCCTCCTCCTCCATTCCGAGGCGCCAGAGGAGGTCGCTCTGGAGGAGGACCCCCAAATGGACGAGGGGGCCCTGGTGGGGGCATGGTTGGAGGTGGTGGGCATCGTCCTCACGAAGGCCCTGGTGGGGGCATGGGCAACAGCAGTGGACATCGTCCCCACGAAGGCCCTGGCGGTGGCATGGGAAGTGGGCATCGCCCCCATGAAGGCCCTGGTGGTAGCATGGGTGGGGGTGGAGGACATCGTCCCCACGAAGGCCCTGGCGGTGGCATCAGTGGTGGCAGTGGCCATCGTCCCCATGAAGGCCCTGGCGGAGGAATGGGTGCCGGTGGTGGACATCGCCCCCACGAAGGCCCTGGCGGAAGCATGGGTGGAAGTGGTGGACATCGTCCCCATGAAGGCCCTGGACACGGGGGGCCCCATGGCCACCGGCCTCATGATGTCCCTGGTCACCGAGGCCATGACCATCGAGGGCCGCCACCTCATGAGCACCGTGGCCATGATGGTCCTGGCCACGGGGGAGGGGGCCACCGAGGGCACGATGGAGGCCACAGCCATGGAGGAGGTGAGGATGCTCCCTGTCCCCCATATGCCTTTTGGTTGTCCCATACAAGCTTTTGGGGAGTGGGTGAGAGTCACTACTGTTGGTAGCTAGGCAGAACGTGAGGTACCCGTCTCTTTGATGTCCTAGTATGCATAGCAGTTCCTACTCTATGCCCTTCCCCCAAATCCCCAAGATTGTCTCTGAAAGACAGTTCTCAGGATGTCATGGACAAGGGGTGGTGAGGGTGGCATTGCCCTCAGCTATTTCCTGTCTAACTGTTTTGCCATCGTTCCCACAGACATGTCAAACCGCCCTGTCTGCCGACATTTCATGATGAAGGGCAACTGCCGCTATGAGAACAACTGTGCCTTCTACCACCCGGGTGTCAATGGGCCCCCCCTGCCCTAGGGACCATTTGCCTGCCCTGTTCACACAACCCCTGTGGACTGCAGCCTCGCTCTTTCCACCCTGTTATGGCTTCTGTGAGGCCCATTTTCCCTTTTCCCCAGCTGATGAGGAGCCGGCCCCCTCAGTTCCCACTTGCTTGGGTTCCTGGGGGTTTTCTGATCACTGGTGCGCATTGATGTACATATTTTCCTCCAGTCTGGGGAGGAGAGAGACTGGAAACGTTCCTGGACTGCTGAAGAGGAGACCCAGTTGGCTTCACTTTTTGAGAAGATTCGCCCTGTACCCCAAACCCCTTTCCAGTATTACCCTTAATGCTTGAGAACCTAAAGCTGGTTATCCTGGCGAACACCCCTACCCTTCTATTGCGGGTCCCCACATGCACACAGAACTCTGACACAGGATCAGCTGCACTTAAGAAATCATCCCAGCTAAGTTCATTATTCCTCATGGGGTGGGGAGATGCTGAAAGGGGTATTGTATATCCCACTGCACTGAGAGGGCTCAATCAGCTGGATTTGAGTTCTGGAACACACATCATCCCCACCCCTCCCCCAGCGTGGGCTCACCATTCTTAGTCCTTTCTCAAGTGGGACCTTCAACTTTCTGTGAACACCCAGTCTGCGTCCTGGGTCTGCTAGGTTCGATGATGGCGAACTCGTATCTGCATCCGGTGCAAGTTTTAGCTGGCAGAGGTGAGACCGGTGGTGCTGGTCTGCCTTTGCCAACTATAGCCAGTCTGGAGACTTGATAAAATACTTCAGTGAGACCAGCTTCTCATCAACTTGGGCCCGGCGTGCTGGGCCTGAAAGTCACACTACATGCACTGCCTTTGGGAGTCAGCTCACTCCCTGCTCCCACCTGGAACCTTGCCAGCGTGAAGGAGGCTTCCAGGTACTTCACCCTGTCAACCACCTCTGAATCCCCACCAGGCGCCTTCCTGGGTGGATTCAACAAGATGATTTTGCCCTTTCCCAGTTCTCTCCTTCACTTTGGCATCAGTTGTTTTCTATGAAAACAGTGGATTGGTTGGGTTTTGTGCAGGGTCTTGGGTTAGAGCCAAAATGGATTTGAGGATGAGTATTTTTTTTTTTGGTTTTGTATATTTTGTACATTAATAATAAACAGTGGAAAGAGAAGCAGCTTATTTAACCCCTAGTGTGTTTGGACTTTTTTGAGACGGAGTCTCGCTCCGTTGCCTGGGCTAGAATGCAGTGGTGCAGTCTTGGCTTACTGCAATCTCTGCCTCCTGGGTTCAAGGGATTCTTCTGCCTCAGTCTTCTGAGTAGCTGGGATTCCAGGCACCTGCCACCATGCCTGGCTAATTTTTTTGTATTTTTAGTAGAGACTTGGTTTCACCATGTTGGCCAGGCTGGTCTGGAACTCCTGACCTCGTGATCTGCCCGCCACGGCCTCCCAAAGCGCTGGGATTACAGGCGTGAGCCACCGCGCCCGGCCTGGACTGTTTTTCATTTTTTTTTTTTAAAAGCCATTACCACCTGTGTTAGATACATTAGTACAAATCTGTGGAATCTGATTTTTACTCCTCTGGAGCTAATGCTTGATCTAACAGTTGCTATTAAGTACTGGTGAAAAAATGCTTCAAAAAGTACATAAAATACTCTAGGATACAGAGTAGATCTCGGCCACAGGGCTCTTTCCTGGTTTTCATCTTTCTGAGTCTTCTTTAACACGCCTCGTGTGTGTTCCTAGAACAGTCCTATCCTGGCTATCGTGCCCTCTAGGATGTGTTCTTGGTCATCTTATCCACATTCTACAGATAAGGGAGGAAATCCTGAGGATGCTGGAGTCAGATAAAGGCCATTGTCCCAGCTCTACCTCTCTACAGCCTGGGTGACCTTAGCCAGGTTAGTGTTGGGTATCAGTGGCTCATGTCTGTAATCCCAGCACTTTTGGGAGGCCGAGGTGGGAAGACTACTTGAGCCCAGGAGTTTGAGACCAGCCTGAGCAACATAGGGAGACCAGGTCTGTACAAAAAATACAAAAAATATTAGGCATGGTGGCACATGCCTTTAGTTCCAGCTACCTGGGAGGCTGAGGCGAGAGGATCACTTGAGCCTGGGAGTTCAAACTCACAGCTATGATTGTACCACTGCAATCCAGCCGGAGCAACAGAGCAAGACCCTGTCTCAAAAAAAAAAAAAAAAAAAAAAAGCCAGGCATATTGGGTCATGCCTGTAATCCCATCACTTTGGGAAGGCGAGGTGGGTGGATCACCTGAGGTCAGGAGTTGGAGACCAGCCTGGCCAACATGACAAAACCCCGTCTCTACTAAAAATACAAACATTAGCTGGGTGCCTATAACCCAGCTACTCCGGAGGCTGAGGCGGGAGAATCCCTTAAACCCAGGAGGTGCAGGTTGCAGTGGGCCGAGATCATGCCACTGCACTCCAGCCTGAGTGACAGGGCAAAATTCCGTCACAAAAAAACAAAGGGTAAGTATAGACTGCTCTTCCCAAAGTGGCTCTGGCCAGGCATGGTGGCTCAAGCCAGTAATCCGAGCACTTTGGGACGCCAACATGGGAGGATCACTTGAACCCAGGAGTTCAAAACTACCCTAAGCAACATAGGGAAGCTCCATTTCCCCATTTCCGCGCCTGGCCTCCACTCTTCTTAAACCAGAAATTAAAGCTGGGCATGTTGGCTCACGCCTGTAATCCCAGCACTTTGGGAGGCCCACATGGGACGATCACTTGAACCCAGGAGTTCAAAACTACCCTAAGCAACATAGGGAAACTCCATTTCCCCATTTCCGCGCCTGGCCTCCACTCTTAAACCAGAAATTAAAGCTGGGCGTGGTGGCTCACGCCTGTAATCCCAGCACCTTGGGAGGCCGAAGCAGTTGGATCACCTGAGGTCAGAAGTTCGAGACCAGCCTGGCCAACATGAAGAAACCCCATCTCTACTAAAAATACAAAAATTAGCTGGGTGTGGTTACTGGCGCCTGTTATCCCAGCTACTCGGAAGGCAGGAGAATCGCTTGAACCCAGGAGGCAGAGGTTGCAGACTGCACCACTGCACTCCAGCCTGGGCAACAAGAGTGAAACTCCATCTGAAAAAAAAAAGAAAGGATACATCACTCTGGGGGGAGTGTGTGTGGCAGATATGGGGCAGTTGAAGATATTAACATGTTTTAACATGTGGGTTGAGAATGGCGGTTTTCAAGTCTGTTAGCATTCATCAGGATCATCTGAAGAGCTTATTAGAAAACAAATCTGGGGCCGGGTGCAGTGGCTCATACCTGTAAACCCAGCACTTTGGGAGGCCAAGGCGGGTAGATCAGGAGGTCAGGAGTTCGAGACCAGCCTGACCAACATGGAGAACCCCCGTCTCCACTAAAAATACAAAAATTAGCCGGGCGTGGTGGCGCATGCCTGTAATCCCAGCTACTCGGGAGGCCGAGGCAGGAGAATTGCTTGAACCCGGGAGGTGGAGGTCGTGGTGAGCCGAGATCGCACCATTGCACTCCAGTCTGGGTAACAAGAGCGAAACTTGGTCTCAAAAAAAAAAAAAAAAAAAAAGAAAGAAAAAAAAAAACAAATTTGGGTTGGATGCAGTGGCTTATGCCTGTAATCCCAGCACTTTGAGAGGCCAAGGCGGATGGATCACCTGAGGTGAGGAGTTTGTGACCAGCCTGGCCAACATGGTGAAATCCCATCTCTACTAAAAATACAAAAATTAGTCAGGCATGGTGGCTCGCGCCTGTAATCCCAGCTACTTGGGAGACTAAAGCAGGAGAATCACTTGAACCCGGGAAGTGGAGGTTGCAGTGAGCAGAGATCACACCACTGCACTTCAGCTTGGGTGACAGAGCCAGACTCCATCTCCATCTCAAAAAACAAAAACAAAACAAAAAGAAAAAACAGACAGATTGGGGGTAGGGTCCAGCAAAATTCTGATTTAGTAGGTCAGGATGGATCCCGAGATATGCATTTCTAACAAATTCCCAGTTGCTGAGGCTGCTACACTGCCCTGGAATACGTGTCTCAGCTGTATTTCCAGCATTGGCCACATGAGGGGGCAACAATGTTTTATCAGTATCTGAAAGGCCTCACTGCATGTAGGCCCAAAGTGGGTAGTTTTACCTTCCCCTTGCCCAGGCTTGGTGTGTGTGGGCGGAGGTGTTCAGGTCAGTCTGTTGTTGCTGTGTGCACTGGGAGAAGACCTGAGAAGACATAATCTAAGGACCAGGCTAGGGCGTGAAATACCAAAGAAGTATACAGCTCAAGTGAAAAAACCCAAACATGTCACAACCTAGTGGTCACAACTTTGTGTCTCTTTCTGCTTCCATTTACTGCCTGCTTCTCACCTTTCTTCTATCTCCTGCAACAAGCCACAAGAACCTTAAAAGAGAGCTTAAAGTTTTTACTGTATTTTAAGAATAAGCTCGGCCGAGCGCGGTGGCTCACACCTGTAATCCCAACACTCTGGGAGGCCGAGGCGGGCAAATCCCAAGGTCAGGAGATGGAGACCATCCTAGCCAACATGGTGAAACCCCGTCTCTATTAAAAATACAAAAATTGCCAGGCGCGGTGGCTCACGCCTGTAATCCCAGCACTTTGGGAGGCCGAAGCGGGCAGATCATGAGGTCAGGAGATGGAGACCATCCTGGCTAACAAGGTGAAACCCCTTCTCTACTAAAAATACAAAAACTTAGGTGGGTGTGGTGGCGGGTGCCTGTAATCCCAGCTACTGAGGAGACTGAGGCAGGAGAATGGCATGAACCCGGGAGGTGGAGCTTGCAGCGAGCAGAGATCGCGCCACTGCACTCCAGCCTGGGCGACAGAGCAAGACTCTGTCTCAAAAAAAAAAAAAAATTAGCCGGGAGTGGTGGCACGCACCTGTAGTCCCAGCTACTTGGGAGGCTGAGGCAGGGGAATCGCTTGAATCCAGGAGGCAGAGGTTGCAGTGAGCCGAGATAACGCTACTGCATTCCAGGATGGCGACAGAGCAAGACTCCGTCTAAAAAAAAAAGAAAGAATGAGCTCATTTTCTTTCAAATCATTTATGAAAATTCGGCCAGGCGTGGTGGCTCACGCCTGTAATCCCAGCACTTTGGGAGGCCGAGGCGCGTGGATCACCTGAGATCAGGAGTTCGAGAGCAACCTGACCAACATGGTGAAACCGTCTCTACTAAAAATACAAAAAATTAGCCGGGCGTGGTGACTGGTGCCTGTAATCCCAGCTACTCTGGAGGCTGAGGCAGAAGAATCGTTTGAACCCAGGAGGCGGAGGTTGCAGTGAGCTGAGATCGTGCCATTGCACTCCAGCCTGGGTGACAGCAAAATTTCATCTCAAAAAAAAAAAAAAAAAAAATTCAAAGAAACCTGTTTTTTTTTTTTAGACAAGTTTCACTCTTTTGCCCAGGCTGGAGTGAAATGGCACGATCTTGGCTCACTGCCCCCTGGGTTCAAGGATTCTCCTGCCTCAGCCTCCTGAGTAGCTGGGATTGTAGGCACCTGCCACCACGCCTGGCTAATTTCTGTATTTTTAGTAGAGATGGGGTTTTACCATGTTGTCCAGGCTGGTCTCGAACTCCTGACCTCAGGTGATCCACCCGCCTTGGCCTCCCAAAGTGCTGGGATTACAGGTGTGAGTCACGGCACCCGGCCTACCTGTTCCTTTTTACTTACGTAAAAACTTTAGATTATATAAAGAGAAGATTTTCCTTGTTTTTTGTTTTTTTGCAGGGGGAGAGAGGTTGAACATTTCATTCATTTCACTACAATGATGTTTCTTCACCAAGCCCTCCCTGCAGGCACTTTTCTCTCTACCGTTTCAGTCTGTTTTTCCTTTCTGCTTCCATTTTTTCCCTCTAAAATACCCTTGTGACATTCAACGTTCTCTTTCTGTCAATCCTTCCCCAGGTGCAACGGGGTCTATCTTCAATTCAGAATCATTATCCTATTTCTTTCATTCCTACTCCTGGGCAGTAGACCTAATGTTGAAAAATCACAAAATCCTACTATCTTAGCCCAGTACAAATTAATGTTAGCATTGATTCTACACTTACTGCTGCTCAGCAAACCTTTTTTTTTTTTTGAGACGAAGTTTTGCTCTTGTTGCCCAGGCTGGAGTCCAATGGCATGATCTCCGCTCACTGCAACCTCCACCTCCCAGGTTCAAGTAATTCTCCTGCCTCAGCTTCCTGAGTAGCTGGGATTACAAATGCGTGCCACTACTCCTGGCTAATTTTTGCATTTTTAGTAGAGACGGTGTTTTGCCAAGTTGGTCAGGCTGGTCTCGAACTCCTGACCTCAGGTGATCCGCCTGCCTCGGCCTCCCAAAGTGCTGGGATTACAGGCATGAGGCACCGTGCGCGGCCTACTCTTCTTGATTCTCTGGCACCAAAGCTTGGGAAAAAGTGAGTCCCATCCACTGTGAGCAACATTTTCCCTTCCCTTCACATGGAAATATCTGAGTCTACATTATCTCCCTTCCATTCCATTCTTAGATGAAGAGAATCTTCTTTCCAAAGTAATATTGAGCTGTTCTCCTGGCATCTCTTTTCCCTGTCTCCCCACACCCACTATTTGCCACCTAGCAGCCAGGAGCAATTTTGTAAAAATGAAAACTGAATCAGTTTGCACTCCTGGCTAAACAGAACCAATGGCCTCCCATTGCTCAGCCTCTCCTGATCACATCCCAACCTGCTGTCTATGCATATAAGGCCCCGTGTGTATTGGCGCATGCTCAAGTTCTCAGCTCCAGCCATTCCTTGACCATGTTCAGCTCTTTTCAGCCTCAGGGTCTTTGCACATTTTGGTCCCTTCCCTGAAGGCTCTTCCTTTCCTACCTTCAGGCTTTGGCTTTAATGAGGCTGAGGTGGGAGGATAACTTGAACCCAGGAGTCTGAGACCAGCCCGGGCAACAAAGCAAGACCTCTTTGCTACAAAAAAATTAAAAAATTGGCTGGGCATGTTGGTGGACACTTGTAGTCCCAGCTACTTGAGAAGCTGAGGTAGGAGGATCACTTGAGTCCAGAGGGTTGAGGCTGCAGTGAGCCATGATTGTGCCACTGCACTCCAGCCTGGGAAACAGAGGGAGACCACATCTCAAAACAACAAAAAACACATTTCTACGATGTTTACTGTGTACCACATATGTGCATCACTTGTAGGTAATAAGCTGTTTATAAATAAAACAATTTAATTTGGTTAATGAAATTTCCATGCGCTACCATGGAAATGTTTCCCTTTCGTGTTCCATTTCTATGCTGCTTTTTGGAGGGCATACTTTTGCCCACATTTAGGTGAATTATTAATTCCATTAACAGCACATATGATCGGCTACAGGGATCACAGAAGTTAAAACATACACGGGAGGAGATAAAGTTTGTGGCCAGGTGCCGTGGCTCATTCCTGTAATCCCAGCACTTTGGGGAGCCTAGGAGAAAGGACTGCTTGAGGCCAGGAGTTTGGGACCAGCCTGGGCAATATAGCAAGGCCTCATCTTTAAAAAAAAAAAAAAAAAAAAAGAACAGAGAGAGAAATGAAATTTATGCCTGTGGCGGAAAGTTATTTTGGAGTACTTAAAGTACTTTTCTCACTTATGTTTGAAGTAGTGAAATTAGTGACCAAATATTTGAAATGCAAGCTGGTATTCACTTTATAAATAACATTCCTATATATTTTATGTATCATCTCAACTAGACTAGCGAAGTAAAAACTTAAAAATGCAAAAGTATAGGCCAGGTGCGGTGGCTCACGCCTGTAATCCCAGCACTTTGGGAGGCCGAAGTGGGCAGATCACCTGAGGTCAGGAGTTTGAGACCAGACTGGCCAACATGGCAAAACCTGATCTCTACCAAAAGTACAAAACTTAGCCGGGCGTGGTGGCACGTGCCTGTAATCTCAGCTACTTGGGAGGGTGAGACAGCAGAATTACTTGAACCCAGGAGGCAGAGGTTGCAGTGAGCCAAGATCACGCCACAGCACTCCAGCCTGGCAACAGAGTAAGACTCCATCTCAAAAAAAAAAAAAAATATATATATATATATATATAATATGAAATACATATAACAAAAGCAACAGAATTTAAGGCACTTTACGTATTATTACACATTGAATCCCCTAATAACCCTGTGAAGTAGGTAACTACCACCTTCATTTTACAGATGAGAAAAGAGGTATCAAGAGGCTAATGGCTTGTCCAAGGTCACTGCCAAGACCCTGACTTTTCCCCCTCAAATTCCATAAGAGGCATGTTTCCTGATGTCTTTTGGTTTTTGTTTGAGACAGAGTCTCGCTCTGTTGCTCAGGCTGGAGTGCAGTGGCGCAACCTCGGCTCACTGCAACCACTGCCTCCCGGGTTCAAGCAATTCTCCTGCCTCAGCCTCCTGAGTAGCTGGGACTACAGGTGTGCACCACCACGCTCGGCTAATTTTTTTGTATTTTTAGTGGAGATGGGGTTTCAATATGTTGGTCAGGGTGCTCTCGAACTCCTGACCTCATGATCTGCCCGCCTCCCAAAGTGCTGGGATTACAGGCATGAGCCACCATGCCCGGCCTCCTTATTTTTAATTTAGAGTGTTCCCTGACTATGCAGCTATCTCCACACCAAAACTTCACTTCCTGTATGAAGCTTGTACTTGAAGTCCAGTATTATTTATTCACTTGGCTGGAAAACAATTTCCCCAAATTAAATGTCCAAACAGTTAAATCTTAGCCACACAGCTCTCCCTATTCCCTCTGGAACTGGATATATCTCCTGTCACTCCCTTCTCCCCAACCTCCACATCTGCTCTTTCCATCCCTATCTCCCCTAGCTAGTTTAGGATTCAGTTACCCCATTCCCGTAACAAAAGTTATGGGCTTCACCCTGCAGGTTTCTACAGCACGCCTTGCACATCACCACCTAATACCACTACCCACCATTTGCATTTTACTTTCCAAACCCATCTCCCCAGTCTAACTCTTAAGAAAAATGGCCACAGCAGCTATCATCCATTAACTCCCAAGTAGCTTGTTCTTCCCCCCAAGCCTGAGATCTGCTCTTTTCCTACTTCTGAAAAATGGCTCCCTGGTCCCTGATTAGTCAAATCATCATTTTTCAAGATCTACCCTCAAGTGACCCTGTCAAATAATCAGGCCCTGGATAATCTTTCCCTTTTTTGAGTATGTGGCAACTTAGAATCTAGAGTACGACATATTAGACAATTGATCAAATTAATTATCTATTCATGCTTACTTTTAAGTCTTCTCTAACCAGACTATTAATGAAGGCAGATCTTGTCTCTTCCCTTCTTATATACCCCACAGTACCGTACATTTTGGCTAGATGATTTAATAATTTTTGAGAGAATCAATACCCTGGTCCCTGGCCACAGGGCAGAGCACCTCCTCATTCATGAGATTAACTTGGACAATGAGACCCAAATTCTGGCTAGGCGTCGTGGCTCACGTCTATAATCCCAGCACCCCAGCACTTTGGGAGGTCGAGGTAGGAAGACTGCCTGAGGTCAGGAGTTCAGGACCAGCCTTAAGCAACATAGCAAGACACTGTCTCTACTAAAAATTAAAAAAAAAAAAATTAGTTGAGTGTGGCGGCACATGCCTGTAGTCCCAGCTACTCAGGAGGCTGAGGTGGAAGGATTGCTTGAGCCCAGGAGGTTGAGGGTACAGTGCACTCTAGCCTGGGCAACACAGCAAGACCCTGTCTCAGAAAAGAGAAAAAAAAAGAAGTTGGGCACAGTGGCTCATCCCTATAATCCCAGCACTTTAGGAAGTCAAGGTAGGTGAATTACTTGAGGTCAAGAGTTCGAGACCAGCCTGACCAACATGGTAAAACCCTGTCTCTATTAAAAACACTAAAATTAGCTGGGCCTGGTGGTGTGTGCCTGTAATCCCAGCTACTCGGGAGGCTGAGGCAGGAAAATTGCTTGAACCCAGGAGGTGGAGGCTGCAGTGAGCCAAGATCATGCCACTGCACTCCAGCCTGAGTGAAAGGGCAAGATTCTGTCAAAAAAAAAAAAAAAAAAAAAAAGGAAAGAGACCCATGTTCCAAGATAGAAGGTATGAATCACTTTGCTTTTTCCTTGCGTGAAGGGTTGGGGGAAAGGAATCCTATGATCCTTAAACAGCAAACACTGTCAGCAAGACTGCAAACAAGATCCATTTAGTGGGGAAGAGGGGACTATTAAAAGCTGCTAGAAAACTGAATAAAGCAAATCAAGACTGAGAACAGTTCCAACTCCCATCAATCTCCAAACAGTGACAGGTCGGCAGCAACTCCTTTCCTTTATTTCTTCCCCTTGTAAAGGGAAATTCAAGTTCAGCAGCATTCCTTTCCTGCCCCAAGTCCTCAACCAGACAAGAGGCTGCAGGCACCAAATCTTGGGCTGGATAATGGCAAAGGCCTCAGAAGCTCACCTCCAGCTCTGAGCTTCAACAGCTGTTTGTACCAGTGAGTCAGCATTAAATCCACCAGAAAAGAACAGCACCACCCAAAGACTGGGGGGCAGCTGGGCCTGAAGCTGTAGGGTAAATCAGAGGCAGGCTTCTGAGTGATGAGAGTCCTGAGACAATAGGCCACATAAACTTGGCTGGATGGAACCTCACAATAAGGTGGTCACCTCTTGTTTGTTTAGGGGGATGCCAAGGATAAGGCCAGCTCAGTTATATGAAGAGAAGCAGAACAAACAAGTCTTTCAGAGAAATGGATGCAATCAGAGTGGGATCCCGGTCACATCAAGGTCACACTCCACCTTCATGTGCCTGAATGGTTGCCAGGTCAGCTGCAGGCCAGAGGCAGTCTTCAGAGGAGGGGAGACCACAGAGGACTTCTAGGCCACACAAATATGTCTCTCGGGAGACTTCTGGGAAGGAAAGCTCACTCTCGGGGCCGGCTGACCATGACTTCACCCAGGGCCTCCAACACCTCCCGCTTGTAGTCTTCAAAGTCACCATCGATTTGGCTAACACTCTGCTCCTCCACCACCCACAGCTGGCAATTGGTTTCTGTGATGAGTCGGGCATCATGGCTGACAACGATCACAGCTTTGAAGAAAGATAGCAACAACAGAGGGCAGGAAGAAAGGAGAAAGAGGGGAATCAGAACATGAAATAAGGGAGTCCTAGGCCCTTCTGTAGTGAAGGACACTACAGCTTGGTCCCCATGGAGCAGGGATGAGGGCACACTCTCAGCTGACTTACCACCCTTGTATTCATTGATGGCCTCCCCTAGAGCATCAATAGACTCTATGTCCAGGTTATTGGTTGGCTCGTCCTACATAGGAGGAATTCCATGACTGAGCACTGCAACTCCCGTCTTCCATTACTGTTACCCTTATCCCTTTTCCCACAGCCCAGCTCACTCACCAAGATGAGGACATCAGGTTCCCGACAGGCCAGCTCAGCAAACACAACTCGCGCCTTCTGACCACCTGTAGCAAAGGAAGGGGAGGGCTGTCACACCTAGCACCTCACATTCTGAAGGCAAACCCTCAAGATGTGCCAGTTTGTGAGCTGAGGCTCCCTCATTCTCGGTTCCTCTAGGTACAGTTTGTAGACATGAATGATAAGGTGAAGGGCACCCTCCCTGGCCCCTGAAGTGGTACCAGAGAGTTTGCAGATCTGGATGGTGTGGGCGTGACTCTCCAGGCCGAAGCGGCCCAGGCACTTGCGGGCATCCTGGTAGGGCAGGTTGAAGCCCCGCTGCAGGTACTCAGTGGGCGTCTCCTCCATGCGCAGCTGCTCTGCATACTGCTGGTTGAAGAAGCCAATTTTCTGCCCGAGAAGAGAGGGAGGTGGTCGGTTAAAGTCACACTTCCTCCATCAGATTATCATTCCCTAAATCCCAATGCCAACTTACCAGCCGGTGGTTCTTTCTCATTTCCCCATGGGTCTGCAAGGGAAGACAAAGTAGTTAAGAGGAGGGCAAGGGAAAAAGGTGCTGCAGCTCCATACATCAACTTTTTTTTTTTTTTTTTGAGACGGAGTCTCGCTCTGTCCCCCAGGCTGGAGTGCAGTGGCGCGATCTCGGCTCACTGCAACCTCCACCTTCCGGGTTCACGCCATTCTCCTGCCTCAGCCTCCCCAGTAGCTGGGAATACAGGTGCCTGCCACCACACCCGGCTAATTTTTTGTATTTTTAGTAGAGACGGGATTTCACCATGTTAGCCAGGATGGTCTCGATCTCCTGACCTCGTCCATACACCAACTTTTCTGAAGGAGAGACAAACACCAGAAATGGGCCAGGGACAAGTATGCATAAGAAAAGGAATAGGGGCTGGGCACGGTGGCTCATGCCTGTAATCTCAGCACTTTGGGAGGCCAAGGAAGGCAGGTCAGGAGGCACTTAAGGTCAGGAGTTTGAGACCAGGCTGGCCAACATTGTGAAACCCTGTCTCTACTAAAAATACAATAATTAGCTGGGCATAGTGGGACATGCCTATAATCCCAGCTACTCAGGAGGCTGAGGCACAAGAATGGTTTTAACCCAGGAGGTGGAAGTTGCTGAGATCGCACCACTGCACTCCACCCTCGGGGACAGGGGAAGACTTTGTCTCAAAAAAGAAAAGGAACAGGGATGTTCCCCTAATATGACAAAGGCATGGTGAGCAAAGTAAAAGAGTTAAGGGACAAAAGGGGAGTTAAGCAAAATGGAGGACAAGAGGGACAAGCAGGAGGGACTAACCACAGCCAAAGAACACCTGCTCTCCATACAGCGAGACTCACGAATGGTACATCGTAAGGGCCTCATGTGGCAAGTTTAGTGTTTTGGGGAGAATCTAATAATACCTTTCTAAAGATCTAATCTCTGGATATGAGAAAATGGCCTCTCAACACTGCTAGAGAGAGCAGAAATGGCTACAAACTTTCTAACACACTAGATGGCAATATATTACAAAAGTTCAAATAAAATGGTAGAGTTTGCCGGGCGTGGTGGCTCACACCTGTAATCCCAGCACTCTGGGAGGCCGACGCAGGCAGATCATGAGGTCAGGAGATCAAGACCATCCTGGCTAACACGGTGAAACCATCTCTACTAAAAATACAAAAAATTAGCTGGGCGTGGTAGCACGCGCCTGTTGTCCCAGCTACTCGGGAGGCTAAGGCAGGAGAATCGCGTGAACCCAGGAGACGGAGGTTGCAGTGAGCCAAGACTGTGCCACTGCACTCCAGCCTGGGTGACAGAGTGAGACTCTGTCTCAAAAAAAAAAGGTAGACTCATATGAAATAAGTAATTGCATGGAAAAATGCTTGATATATTTGGAAAAATCTAGCTACACAACAACTCATATGACAGCCCATTTTTGTTAAAAATTATATGCACATTTGCAAAGAAAAAAGGAGAAAGATATCCACTAAAACATTAATACTGGTTATCTCAGCTGGGAGCGGTGGCTCACGCCTGTAATCCCAGCACTTTGGGAGGCTGAGGCGGGCGGATCACAAGGTCAGGAGTTCGAGACCAGCCTGACCAACATGGTGAAACCCTGTCTCTACTAAAAATACAAAAAGTAGCTGGGCATGGTGGGGCGTACCTATAATCCCAGCTATTCAGGAGGCTGAGGCAGGAGAATATCTTGAACCTGGGAGGTGGAGGTTGCAGTGGGCCAAGATCGCACCACTGCACTCCAGGCTGGGCGACAGTGAGACTCCGTCTCAAAACAAAATAACAAAAAAAAAAAACTGGTTATCTCCAGATTTTTCTCTTGACTTAAGCATTTTTTTTTTTTTTTTGACAGAGCCTCACTCTGTCACTTAGACTGGAGTGCAGTGGCACGACCTCGGCTAACTGGAACCTCTGCCCCCTGGACTCAAGCAATTCTCCTACCTCAGCCTCCCGAGTAGCTGGGACTACAGTCGTGCACCAACATACCCAGCTAATTTTTGTATTTTTAGTAGAGATGGGATTTCACCATGTTGCTCAGGCTGGTCTGTTTTTTTTTTTTAGACGGAGTTTTGCTCTTGTTGCCCAGGCTGGAGTGCAATAGCGCAATCTCAGCTCACTGCAACCTCTGCCTCCTGGGTTCAAGTGATTCTCCTGCCTCAGCCTCCCAAAATAGCTGGGATTACAGGCATGTGCAACCACGTCTGGCTAATTTTGTATTTTTAGTAGAGATGGGGTTTCTTCATGTTGGTCTCAAACTCCTGACCTCAGGTGATCTCCCACCTCGGCTTCCCAAAGTGTTGGGATTACAGGTGTGAGCCACCACACTGGGCTCAGGCTGGTTTTTAACTCCTAAGCTCAAGTGATCTGCCTGCCTCAGCCTCCCCCAAAGAGTTGGGATTATAGGCGTGGGCCACCACGCCAGGCCAATTTTTTTTTTTTTTTTTGAGATGGAGTCTCGCTCTGTTGCCCAGGCTGGAGTGCAATGGTGCAATCTCAGCTCACTGCAACCCCCGCCTCCCAGGTTCCAGCAATTCTGCCTCAGCCTCCTGAGTAGCTAGGATATAGGTGCGCGCCACCGCACACGGCTAATTTTTGTATTTTTAGTAGAGGCGGGGTTCACTATGTTGGCTAGGCTGGTCTGGAACTCTTGACCTTAGGTGATCCCTGCTGGGATTATAGGAGTGAGCTACTGTGCCTGGCCCGTTTATGCAATTTTTAATCGTTCTATAAAAGACATATATTTCTTGTATAACCAAAACACGTGGGTGTGCCCCCTAGTTCTATCTTAATTCTCTTAGCTCTCCCCCCTGAACTGATCTAAGCTCTTTCCTCCTCTACTGCCCCTCTTAGGGAAATGAATCATCTATCATGAGTTCTGTATTTAACTCTACATTCTCGAGAGGCTCCCTGATTCCAGCTTCTGGCAAAAGCAGCTGTGTCTTCACATTTCTCATGCTCTCCCTCCTTGGCTCCAGGACTCACCGGTGTCAGCTTGCCAGTCAGCAGCAGGAGTAGCGTACTCTTCCCCACACCATTAGGGCCCACAATGCAAACTGCAAGATGGAAGACAGGTGGTCAAAGAGGTCCCCAGAGACTCTCCCTGTGGCTCCTGCTACACATCCCTGAGGCAACCCCGCCAACTCACTCCTTGAATCCATGTCGATGCCAAAATCCAAGTTCTTAAAGAGTGGTTTCTGTCCCTGGTAGCCGAATGTCACACCTGAAAGCCACGAAAAGAAGCAATTTATATTCTTTTCAGTCCCTGCAAAGTCCCTCTCATGTGCTGGCCTTGGAGAACAGGAGCAATCTCAGCCTTGGTGGAGAATTTAGGGTGCACATACATGCTTCCGGTGCTTCCTGTGGAGCAGCAGAGGCCCGCGGCACTCACCATGCAGACCCAGCACTGGAGGGCTGAGTGGTGGGGGGTCTGGAAAAGTGAAGCGCACAGTGTACTCCTTAGGGCGCTTCAGGAGCTCAGGGGCCTCCTGGGATTCCTCATCTTGGTTTTTCCGTCGGCATTTCTGCTGCTTCCGAGTCAGGGCTTCCTTCGTTTGTTTTTCCTGGAGAGGAAGAGGAAAAAAGAGAAACCTGAGCCCTGCGCGGCAGTCCTTGAAATGTAGGCCAGCGTTCCAGAGTCTCCTTCTTCCTCCACTGCCAGGAGAGAACAGTGGCCCCCAGCCCAGAAGTCCCTCAGGTGCTCACCGCCTGCTTGGTGGACTTCCCGCCTGCCTTCAGCTCCTTCAGCTTTTTCTCTTGCTTCTCATACTGTTTCAGCAGTTCTTTCTGCTTCTGCTGGTACATCTTTTTGAAGGTCACTGGGGCAGAAGAGGGGACCAGGCATCAGTGGTTGCTCCTCTTCCCAGCAAAGGGACAACCAGGGACTGGTGGTGATGGGGTAGGCATCACTGTCTGGAATTCTGACAGGATTCAGTTTATCTAAATAGGCCCTCCCACTCAGGCCTCTTTTCGAGGTTCTATCTCTTCCCTGCATCCACACACAATCCTACTTACTGTAATTGCCCCTATAGTAGTGGAGCCGCTGGGCATCGAGGTGGATGATATCAGTGCAGACATCATCCAAGAAGCCCTGGTCATGGGAGACGATCAGCAAGGTCTTCCGCCAGCCCTGGAGGTAGCTGGGTTTCAGAGAACAGGGTGTAAGTGTCACAGTGGTCAAGTGAGAGAGAATTCAGAGGAAGCAGGCAGACAACGGGGGCTGGGAGGGAAAGGGGGGTCTGAATAGAGCTCCACTCACAGGCACAGTGGAGAAGGGCTAAAGGAAAACAGGGCAGGGAGGGAAGGGGAAGAAAGTGCAGAATGGGAACCAATGATGCAAAGGCCGTAACGCACTTATTAAGCCAGATGACAGCGTTGAGGTCCAGGTGGTTGGTGGGCTCATCCAGCATCAGCAGTGTGGGCTCCATGAACAGTGCCCTAGAGGGTGGGTAGCAGAGGGCAGGGTCAGGGAGAGAAAGATCCTTGCTCAGACAACCCCAGAGAAAACTCGGAGATAGAGCCTGAGACCATGAACACTCCTTCCCAAGCTCTCCTCAGAGAAGTTCTCGGGCAGGATACGGTTTAATTTTTTTGAGACAGGGTCTCGCCCTGTTGCCCAGGCTGTCGTGCAGTGGCACAATAAGGGCTCACTGTAGTCTAAATCTCCCAGGTCTAAGTGATACTTCTACTTCAGCCTCCAGAGTAGCTGTGACCACAGCGTGCGCCACCATATCCAGCTGATCTTTAAATTTTTTGTAGAGACAGGGTCTCCCTATGTTGCCCAGGCTAGGATATGTTTTCTTCCCCCTTTTGTGAAGATAGAGTCTCACTATATTGCCCAGGCTGGTCTCAAACTCCTGGGTTGAAGATAATCCTCCTGCCTCTGCCTTCCAAAGTGCTGGGATTACAGGCGTGACCCATTGCACCCAGCTGCAGGGTATGTTGATGAGAACTCACCACCAAGTAGGGAGATAAATAGAGAAAGACCCTAAGTTCTCACAACACAGATAGTAAGGAGGGAGAGGTAAGCCTTGAGCCTCCCTATTGGCCTTGGAAGAATGAGAAGGGAAAGAGGAAAAGGGCCCCGGTGGTCTGAGGCTGGAAGGGAGGGCAGTGAGGTGAATGGCCCACCTGGCCAGGGAGACACGCATGCGCCAGCCCCCTGAGAACTTCTGTGTGGGTCGATTCTGCATTTCAGGGTCAAAGCCCAGGCCAGCCAGGATCCGCCGTGCTTTGGCCTCTGCAGCTGCCGCCCCAGTGGCCCGCAATTCCTCATACACCTGGGAGGAGGGAGAAGAGGACACACGTCTGAGGGTCCCAGGAACCCCCAAGTCTTTGCCCGTGTCCCCTGCGCCATCTCCTCTACCTTCTCTAGCCTCTCAGCAGCTGTGTCATCCCCTTGTTCCAGCTGTCCCTGAAGCCGCCGCTCCTCTTCCAGCAGCTTCAATCGCTTGGTGTCAGCTCGAAGAACAGCCTGGACTGCTGGTGTCTCATCTGCTACCACCTCTGGGAGGCAGAGGGAGAACAGTCAGGCAGCCTCAAGAGCCAAGAGTCTCATCTTTCTTTCCCTTCAATTACATTTCTGTTTTGCCTGACCCTGCCCAGCTCTTTGTACTTGTTCCAAATAAAACACTCTCAAGTTCCTCATTGACCCTCCCCTCCTTTCCTTAGCATCCCTTTCCCGGTCTCCAGTCTCCCTCCACATCCCTTCCAACTCCATAGCCACAATTTCTTCTATTCTTGGCTGGCTGGCTTTTCTACCCAACTGCCCACCCCACCAAGCCCCTTTTCTCCCCAGTGGTCTCACCCTGCTCACACAGCAACACATCAATGTTGGGAGGGATGCTCAGGGCTCGGTTGGCAATGTGCTTGAGGAGTGTGGTCTTGCCCTTGCTGGGGAATAAAAGCTATTAGGACCTGGCCACCACTGAGAAATCTCTTCTTTTCCCTCCAGGCCCTTTTTTGCCTCCAGCTCCCTCCTCTTCTCACCCATTGGGTCCTACCAGCCCGTAGCGGCGGCCGGCTACAATGTACAGGTCTGCATTGACGAACAGCTCCTTGCCATGAGCGGAGATGCTGAACTTCTCCAGCTGCAGCCATCAGGAAAGAGGTGGCAGAGGGAAGGGATGATCACATGAAAATTCTCCCTTTGGGACAGGAGCGGCCACTTTCTCCCTGCAGGGAAGCCTCTGACAAACCGCTACCTCCAGCATAATCCCCTTCCTCTCCCCACAGCCGGTCCCCGCCCTGTTCGCTGCCTGTAATGGGAGCCCCATGCATCCTCAGCTAGTCTAGTCTGTCCCACACTATTTTCTGCCAAGGGTGGACCCCACTTCTACTGGTTTTTCTATCTTCTTGCTCAAGTTGGCAGAACCTAAGGTGTGGAAAATGCCTCCAATCTTTCTTCCCACTGAACTAACCCATTCACACACCACAGCCACTCAGGGAAGATGAGAGAACTGGCTCTTCCCTAGGTAAGTGGACTGGAAGGGGCCCCTTGAGACCTTACCTTGATGTCAGATGCATTTTCTAACATGGCTTGGCGGGAGGACATCTCCGCCTGGGACACGGAGAAGTCATTTTCAGCTGCATTGGCTGCTTTTAATGAAGCCACTTGGCGCTCATACTCCATCTGAGAAGGTAGGAAAAACTACATTTGAAGCCACAGTCTACCAGTTTCCCATCACCATGAAACAGCCCATGCTGGCTGGGCATGCTGGCTCACGCCTGTAATCCCAGCACTCTGGGAGGCTGAGGTAGGTGGATCTCTTGAGCTCAGGAGTTTGAGACCAGCCTGGCCAACATGCTAAAATACTGTCTCTACAAAAAATACAAAAATTAGCCAGGCATGGTGGTGCCACCCATAGTCTCAGCTATTCGGGAGGCTGAGGTGGGAGGATCACTTGAGCCTGGTAGGTTGAGGCTGCAGTGAACAGAGATCACGTCATTGCACTCCAGCCTGAGTAACAGTGTGAGACCCTGTCTCAAAAAATAAACAAAAAACCCCAAAGTGAAACAGCCCATGTCATCAGACATTGAGATAAGGTTCACAGAACACAATTATTTTCTTACTCCGATTGTTTTACTTGGAGTAGCCCCCAAACCTTTCCTTCGTGTCCCCAATCGCATGTCCCCTAGTTGAAGTATTTAAAAATCCCCTACTTTTGACCGCTAAGAACCAAGGTCTTACCTGTTTTTTCAGCTTTTTCTTCTCCTTTTTGCTAAGATGAGCATAGGGATCATCTGCCTTAGACTCTCCTCCTTCCTCCTCCTCTTCTTCCCCTTCTCCTTCTTCCTCTGAACCCTGTGAGAACCCGGGGATGGTCAAAACTAGGGACTCCTGGCTGGGCGCGGTGGCTCACGCCTGTAATCCCAGCACTTTGGGAAGCCAAAGCGGGCAGATCCCAAGGTCAGGAGATCAAGACCATCCTGGCTAACATGGTGAAACCCCATCTCTACTAAAAATACAAAAAATTAGCCGGACGTGGTGGCGGGCGCCTGTAGTCCCAGCTACTCGGGAGGCTGAGGCAGGAGAATGGTGTGAACCTGGGAGGAGGAGCTTGCAGTGAGCCGAGATCGTGCCACTGCACTCCAGCCTGGGTGACAAAGCAAGACTCCGTCTCAAAAAAAAAAACAACAAAAAAAAACTAGGGACTCCTTCTAGAACTCAGATTTCACATCATCTGCCCCCTGTCCCTGCCCCAGCTCTTTCCTTCACTACTCAGAGTCCTAAAATATCTTGGGATCCTCTCTCATTCTCATACCCAGCCCCTGGTCTCCCTGAGGTCCTTTATTAATTTCTGCTACCAGGAATGGTACAAGACAAATGGTATGAATGTGTATTTATGAAATGTGACAACGCGTTATGTCCCTATAAATGTAACTCCCAATACAATGTAACTGAAGGTGGAGTAAATGGATTTCAAGAGTTTCATTTGTATAAAATGAGTTTCTGTGGTTTCCTTGTTAACATGCAAAGAAAAGATCAGGTAGCCGTCCGGGCACGGTGGCTCATGTCTGTAATCCCAGCACTTTGGGAGGCCAAGATGGACAGATCACAAGGTCAGGAGATCAAGACCATCCTGGCTAACATGGTGAAATCCTGTCTCTACTAAAAACACAAAAAATCAGCCGGTCATGGTGGCACGTGCCTGTAGTCCCAGCTACTCGGGAGACTGAGGCAGAAGAATTGCTTGAACCCGGGAGGCAGAGGTTGCAGTGAGCTGAGATTGCGCCACCGCACTCCAGCCTGGGCAACGGAGTGAGACTCCATCTCAAAAAAAAAAAAAAAAAAAAAAAGATCAGGAAGCTCTAGTGCACAGTCAGAGGAATCCAGCAGAATCACAGAATTAGGAAGTGCCAGACGCATAGGGACCCTAGAGATCTCCGGACTCCTCCTTCTATCACACAAAGGAGACAAGTGAGACCCAAGGGGATGGGAAGATGTATTCAAGGTCACACAGCCAGTGAAGGCAGAGCCAGGACCCAGATCATCTGAGATAAATTCCAGGCCCTTTCTTCACTGGATTAGGTGTTGCAAACTACAGCCCATGGGCCAAGGCTGACCTGACATTTATTTTTATATAGCTCCTGAACTTTATAAAAATAATTTTTGTATTTTCAAAGAGTTGTTAAAAAAAAAAAAGAATATGTGATAGAGATTGTATGTGGCCTGCAAAGCCAAAAACATTTACTATATGGCCCTTTATAGAAAAAGTTTGCTGGCTGGCATGCTGGCTCACACCTGTAAACCCAGCATTTTGGGAGGCTGAGGCAGGAGGACTGCTTGAGCCCAGAAATTCAAGACCAGCCTGAGCAACATAGTGAGACCTCATCTCTATACTAAAAATAAAAAAATTAGCCAGGGGTAGTGGTGCACACTTGTAGTCCCAGCTACTCAGTAGGCTGAGGCAGGAGAATCTGTTGAGCCCAGGAGGTTGAGGCTTCAGTGAGCCGTGTTCACACCACTGCACTCCAGCCTGAGTGACAGAGTAAGATCCTGTGTAAACAAAAACAAAAACAAAAACAAACGAACCACCACCCCAACTACTCCCCCAAAAAAAGAAAAGAATAAAGGTTTGCTGGGATAATAACTATATCCCCAGATTCTAACTCTCCCATAAGGACCCTGGAAGCCCTAGTCCCTCATTCCACCTTGCCCCAACACCAAATACACACCTGCTCTGCCTTCTTGGCCTTCTCCTTCCCTTGTTTGGGAGGCTCCTTTTCCTTTATAATTTCTTCTTCTTTATCCTCCTCTTCATTGTCCAGAGCAGCGAATTTATTTTGAGGCTAATAGGGAAAAGACAGGTCTGATGAAATGTTTTTTTTTTTTTTCTTTTTTTTTTTTTGAGACGGAGTCTCGCTCTGTCACCCAGGCTGGAGTGCAGTGGCGCAATCTCGGCTCACTGCAAGCTCCACCTCCCGGGTTCACGCCATTCTCCTGCCTCAGCCTCCCGAGTAGCTGGGACTACAGGCGCCCGCCACCACGCCCGGCTAATTTTTTTTGTATTTTTAGTAGAGACGGGGTTTTACCGTGTTACCAGGATGGTCTCGATCTCCTGACCTCGTGATCCGCCCACCTCGGCCTCCCAAAGTGCTGGGATTACAGGCGTGAGCCACCGCGCCCAGCCCTGATGAAATGTTTTAATTCCTGGGCCCCAATACCTCCTCCTGCTAGTTACTCTCTCACCTTAGCCTTCCCTTTTGACTTCTCTTCCTTTCCCTTTTTGCCCTTGAGTGCAGGCTGCTGTTCCTCAGATACGGCCTGGAGGAGACACACATACACATTACACACATACATACAAATTATTGTGCTACTTTGCTGTGTAATAAGCATTTCTAGAGAGTCTACTGTGTTAACCATACACATGCTCCTCCATTTACGACAGGTTGCATCCCGATAAACCCACCAGAAACTTAAATAAAAAATGATAGTTCTTGGCCGGGCGTGGTGGCTCACACCTGTAATCCCAGCACTTTGGGAGGCCAAGGCAGGTGGATCACAAGGTCAAGAGATCGAGACCATCCTGGTCAACATGGTGAAACCCTGTCTCTACTAAAAACACAAAAATTAGCTGGGCGTGGTGGCACGTGCCTGTAATCTCAGCTACTCAGGAAGCTGAGGCAGGAGAATCACTTGAACCCGGGAGGCGGAGGTTGCAGTGAGCCAGGATTACGCCACTGCACTCCAGCCTGGCAACAGAGTGAGACTCCGTCTCAAAAAAAAAAAAAAAAAAAAATAGTTCCAACTTATGATGGGTTTATCTGGATATAATCCCATCATGAGTTGAGGAGTACCCTAAATGAGTATGACTTTCACACCATCATAAAGTAGAAAAATCGTACACCGAAGCAGAAGTTGGAGACCATCTGTATTGAGTGCTGCTGACGAAAAATGAGACCCAGAAAAACCCTACCCTCCAGCTTCAGACTAGATAGCGAAGAGATAACTAGGGAACGTCAGCAAGGCTAAGGATTATAAGTCAGGCAAGTGCGCCACCAGAGTGAGTGGCACTAGCACTGGAGGCTTTCTCAAGAGCTCAAATGGACATGGACTAAGATGCACACGCAGAAGAGTCACAAGTAGAAGAGCAAGGACCTGGGGCTTTGTTTCAGGTTCTGTGCTTAAAGCAACAGAATCACTGTAGATTTCTGAGTGATAAAAATGGCATGGTTTTTTTTGTTGTTTTTTTTTTGAGACTGAGTCTTGCTCTGTTGCCCAGGCTGGAGTGCAGTGCCTCAATCTCAGCTCACTGCAAATTCCACCTCCCAAGTTCAAGTGATTCTCCTGCCTCAGCCTTCCAAGTAGCTGGGATTACAGGCGCACGCCACCACGCCTGGCTAATTTTTGTATTTTTAGTAGAGATGAGGTTTCGCCATGTTGGTCAGGCTGGTCTCGATCTCTTGACCTCGTGATTCGCCCACCTCGGCCTCCCAAAGTGCTGGGATTACAGGCGTGACCCACTGTGCCCAGCCTGGGCATGTATTCTAAAAAGATGATTTTAACAGTATAAGTAAGACAGACCGAGAAGAGCTAGTTTAAAAGCGGGAAATTACTCCACCATGGCCAGAAGGTGCTAAATGGAGTGAGAGTGACTGATCGAGCCACCACTGTCACCTTATTGATCCGATTCTTCTCCGGCTTGGCAGGCTTAGGAGGATGTTTTTCTTCCTCCTCCTCTTCCTCACTCTGATCCTGAATCAGGGCTGCAAAAACATTACCACCCTAGAGAATGAAAGGGCCACAGAAGTCAGTAGGATGGTCAAGGTTGCATCCTTGGAGTCTCCGTTTACCACACAGATGGCTTACCTTGGTTTTCTTCCCTCCGCGGGGTTTTGGGGCGGGTACTGAAATGACAGGGGGAGAACATGAGATAGGAAAGAATTACAATGTCTGGCCCCCCAATTGAATCCAACTTGAAGATCAGGGTATGAGGTATCACTCTCCATGACTCATGGATTCCAGGTACCCATTCCCCCTCAGGTCATTTACCTTCATCCTCCTCATCACTGGTTGGCACTGAGAGCTTCTTAAGACGCTCCATGAGCTCTTTCTCTTCTCCATCATCATCCACATCCTTCTTCCGCCTGCCTTTTCGGGTATCTCGCTTTTTTTTTTGCTGCTGAGAGCAAAAGAACAGTGAGAAAATGAAGCCCAGGCCCCTGCTGTATTTCTGCCTCACAGAGGGTTCCCCATCAGCTGAATGGAGCAACATGGGCTGGAAAGGGGTTGGTGGAACCCAGATGCCTCCCAGGATTGGTGGGCCCTGTGGCACTTGTACCTGCTGTTGCTGTTGCTGCTGCTGCTGCTCCTTCTCCTTGAGCACTTTCTCTTCTTCCCCAGCCTGTTTATCTTCTACTGCCAGCTCTTCAAAGAACTATAAAGGGAGTTAAGCTACAGGTAAACATGTTTCCAAGAGCAATCCAAGCAGGCTGTGCTCTGCCACACATTGGCCCACTGGCCCTCCACTCCACCCTCACCTTACCTCCTGTCTCTCTCTTTTTTTTCTTTTTGTGGAGAATGGAGTGTGCAGGTCTCAAATTCCTGGGCTTAAGCTATCCTCCCACCTCTGCCTCCCTAAGCGCTGGGATTACAGGTGTAAGCCACCGTGCCCTGCCTATCTCCTCTCTTGACAAGATCTTTTCTCCTCCCTTGGACCTCCCACCTCCTTCACATGGCTATTTATTTAGCTTGGAAACATCCATAGTCATTTCTTATCCTCAACCCTCATTTTCTCACCGTTTTTTTGATCTTCTTGTCCTTCTTCCCTTTCTTCACCACTTTGTCTAGAAAGTTAAGCGGACATCGTGAATGCTTATCTGCAAATTCCAAAGCAGTCTGATCCCCCCTGCAAAGATCTCTGTAGCCTCTATCCTATTTTATTATTTTTCTAGCTTAACTATCACTCCTTAAATATTTGTACTGTCTCACAACTCCTGCAGAAATAATCATTCCCATCTCTATTCATTCATCCACTAAGTATCTACTAAACAGCTACCATGTGTCAGATATTGTGCTAGCGTAGGGGATCATAGCAATGAACAAGACAAATGTGGTCTCCTCTGGAGCTTGCAGGCTATAGGAAGAGAGATTTTTAAATAGGTAATTCCAGGTGTACTGAAGGTTCCAAAAGAAAAGGTAAAGCCTACTTGGTGGTGGGGGAGAGGCTGGCTTCATCTCTGGTGGCGGCCTCTCTAAGAAGATGGCATTTAAGCAAATAACTGAAGTAATGAGGAGTATGAGAAGTTAGTCAGACACATGGTGTAATTCCAGTGCTGTGCACAGGCCCAGCTGTGAGAAAGCACACACACTGAGAGACAGGGAAAGGTTTGGTATGGCTAAGCTTACAGACTGAGGGGAGAATGGTGCAAGGTAAGGCTGGAGTGAGGGCCTTGTAGCAAGGTTAAGGAATGGGGACTTTATTGGTATGATCACTTTCACACTTTAAAGTTTCACTCTGGCTTCAGAGTACAGCAAGAATCGGAGGGAATAAGCATAGTGGGAAATCCACTGGGGAGGCTGTCAGAGTAGTCTGGGTGGTGGTGACAAGCGGACATAAAGAAGAATTCATAGGATGGGGCTAGAGGTGGGGAATAAAGAGCACCCGGCCGGGCGCGGTGGCTCATGCCTGTAATCCCGGCACTTTGTGAGGCAGAGGCAGGCGGATCACTTGAGGTCAGGAGTTCAAGACTAGTCTGGTGAACATGGTGAAACCCAGTCTCTACTAAAAATACAAAAAATTAGCCAGGCATAGTGGCGGGCGCCTGTAATCCCAGCTACTCAGGAGGCTAAGACAGGAGAATTGCTTGAACCCAGGAGGCGGAGGTTGCAGTGAGCTGAGATCACGCTATTGTACTGCAGCCTGGGTGACAGAGCAAGACTCTATCTCAAAAAAAAAAAAAAAAAAAAAAAAAAAAAGAGCACTCAGAGATGACTCCTGTGTTTTTAGCTGGCAAAATTAGCTGGGCTAAGTGGTACCATTTATTAATTAAGGAGGCAGTGGAAGAGAAGGTCTTATAGGAAGGAAGAAGATATTATAAATTCAATTTGGGAGATATGTGTAGATACACACACATGTATACAACACACACACACCCTCCTTTTTTTTTTTTTTTTTTTAAGAGACAGGGTCTTGCTCTGTCACCCAGGCTGGAATGCAGTGGCATGATCATAACTCACTGTAACCTTAAATTCCTAGGCTTAGGTGATCCTCCCACTTTAGCCTCCTGAGTAGCTAGGACTACAGGCAAGCGCCACCATGCCTGCCTAATTAAAAAAATAATAATTTTTAGAGAGGAGGTCTCACTATGTTGCTCAGGCTAATCCTGAACCTCTGGCCTCAAGCAATTCTCCTGCCTCAGCTTCCCAAACTGTTGGAATTATAGGCCTGAGCCACTGTGCCTGGCCAGGGGGACACGTTGTTTGTAAAACCTATAGGCCATGTAAATAGAGTTATCTGGTAAGCAAATGAACACCTCAGTCTATGCCTTACTTGTTCTGCTTGAATATTATAGCACAAATCACATTGTGTCATATTTACCTGTCTGTGTGCTTTCATTCTAGAGAGTAACCTGAGAGACTGTTTAGCCTGTGTTCCCAGTAAAGCCAAAACAGATTCAACAGATTCTAGCTCTCCCCCTCTCCATCCTTGTTTCCCTGAAGGTAGAGGACCATGTCCAACTCCCTCCCCTACTGGAGGCAGCCTCATGATTTCCCTTCAGGCTTAGGCCTATTTATTATCTTCTCTTCCAAAACATCCCTTCCATTCACTGCTATCTAATTCTACCCTTAAGCATTTCAGTATTTAATATTAAAAAAAAAAAAATTGGTCGGGTGCGGCGGCTCAGGCCTGTAATCTCAGCACATTGGGAGGCCAAGGTGGGTGGATCACAAGGTCAGGAGATTGAGACCAGCTTGGCCAACATGGTGAAACCCCATCTCTACTAAAAATACAAAAATTAGCTGGGCGTGGCAGAGCACGCATGTAGTCCCAGCTACTTGGGAAGCTGAGGCAGGAGAATCGCTTGTACCTGGGAGGTGGAGGTTGCAGTGAGCCAAGATCGCGCCACTGCACTCCAGCCTGGGTGACACAGCGAGACTGTCTCAAAAAAAAAAAAAAAAAAGAAAAAAAGTCAATGGTATCCGCCATCTACTACATTAAAATATTCTCAGACTAGAATTCCATGTATTTCAAAGTAATCATTTATTCAGGAAAGTTTTATGGTGCATCTACTTCTCCAAAAAACTAGAGTTAACGAGAGACAATTCCAATAATTAAAGGCTTCACAGACTAAAATGGCCCTACCCTATCTTTTCTGTTTCCCTACCCACACCTCTGGTCTCGATACTGGCTTCTTTCTGTTCCTTTATGAAGTCCCAGGCACGCTTATGTCTGTCTTTGCTTAATCTGCATCCTCCATCCAGAACACATTTCAAAGTTTGGGGCCCTCCTCCTCCCCAAAAAACAAACCACAAAAAACAAACAAAAAAGTTAAAGAAAAAAAATCTGAGCCCAGTATTGGGTGACTAGTGTGAGAGTTGAAAAATTGTGCAGGATTAATAATAAAAGGCTTTATATGCTATTCCAAGGAGTTTAATCCTAAAGGCATTAGGAGGAAGGATCTACTGAAGTACCTAAGAAGGAAAAACCTGATCAGCTCACCTTATCAACACAGATGACTGACTCATCCCAGACACTAATTTCTCCCCAAGGACTAACACAGCCATACCATCTCTCCTTCCTTTAAATCTCTTTTGTGGCCAGGCACACTGGCTCACGCCTGTAATCCCAACATTTTGGGGACCAAGGTGGGAGGACTGGTTGAGGCCAGAGGTTCAAGATTAGCCTGGGCAACATAGCAAGACCTCATCTCTACAGAAAACAAAAAACAAAAACAAACAAAAAATAAGCCAGGCATGGCGGTGTGTGCCTGTAGTCCCAGCTACAAGGGAAGATGGCTTGAGCCTGCGATTGAGGCTGCAGTGAGCTGAGATCGCGCCACTGCACTCCAGCCTGGAGTGAGGCTCCGTCACAAAAAAAAAAAACCCACCAAAACCAAAAAAATCTTTTGTACTTTAATCACTCTTATCCACTTCATTATAGGGACAGGAAAAGCCTCTGAAGAGTTTCATTGTGAGAAAGTATAATCCCCAAGGAACTGAAAAAGATTAAGTGTGGCTAGAGATATACTGTGTCTTCTCTCCTTTCGTATATCGCTTAAGCTGCTCCTTCAAGGCAAGAAAGCAAGCCTTCTTTACCCTTATACCCCTCTCCCCCATTACTGTTTCGTATTCTTGTCCTCATTGGGTCTCAAAATCGTAATTCACAAGCTTCACTTTCTCTTCTCCCATACCTTTGAAACATACTGCAATCTGGTATCATCTCCGAATGAACACTACTTCTGCCAAAGTTGCCACTGAACCCTTAGCTCCTCAAACCACAAAGTATTTTTTGGTCCTTATTTTGCCTGACTTCTCTGCAGCATTCCATGCTGCCTACCTCCACACCTTTTTTATTCTCTTCTATCATTATTTAATTTCTGGGATCTTGCTCACTCCTGGTTTGCCTCCAGTTTCTCTGGCTGTTTGCCTTTCTCAGTCTCATCTCTTCAGCCTCCTTCCCCACCTGCTTCCTGCAATTGCTGAAGTTCTTTAGGGTTCCCACCTTTAACCTTCTTTTTGGTTCAATCTGCAAACACTCTCTAGGGGACTCTTCCATATCCAGCACTTCAACTCTACTTGCCTGTGTCTTTACTCCTAGTATAGTTGTCTCTCCACAGTGACTAAACAAACTCTCTTCTTGCCATTTCCTTTTAGAAATCCTCAGAAACGCCTAACTCAGCATTCAGAAGTTCACCTTATCTCTTTCCACTTCTTACTCTCCTGTCCATTACTGCTTTCAGTTAATAGTCTACTAGTCACTGGGTTACTTAAGTGTCAACCTTACTTCTCCCTTCATTTAATCAGTTCTCAGTTCCGATCAATGCCGCCTCCTTAGTAACTCTTTATTCTTCAGGCCTTGGCTTATCCCCTTACCACTTCTCACCTAGATCATGGCCAGAGCCCCCTAAATGGTCTCCCCGCCTCCATCTTGACCAGTTCAAGGCCATTCATTCTCCATTGCTCAGTGCTACAGGTGAACTGTTCATAATCATTCCTTATGCACTTCAATGGGCCTTCCTTCTTAATGTCTTTAGGATTAAACTCCTCGGAATGGCATCTAAAGCCTTTCATTATCTGTCTCCTGAGCATCTTTCTGACTTCATCACACTAGTCACCAGGCTCTAGTGGGACCAGTCAGGCTTGCCTACATCTCTACCTTCCACAAACTTCCTTGGCTTGGAATGCGCTTCCCCTTGCTAATTCACGATGATCTTTCAAGAATAAACTCTGGGGAGCAGATGTAGTGGCTCACGCCTGTAATCCCAGCACTTTTGGAGGCTGAGGCAGGAGAATTACTTGAGCCCAGGAGTTTGAGACCAGCCTAGGCAACATAGCCAGATCTTGTGTCTACAAAAAATTTTAAAAATAAGGTGTGGTGGTGCATGCCAGTAGTCTCAACTACTTGGGAGACTGAGGCAGGAAGATCCTTTAAACCCAGGAGGTGGAGGCTGCAGTGAGCCATGTTCATGCCACTGCACTCCAGCCTGGGTGATGGAGCTACAATGTGCCTCAAAAAAAAATACTCAGCTATTACATATTCTTGGGAGGCTTTGCTGACACTCCCTTACCTGTCTGAGTAGATGCTCCTCCTCTCTTCTACAGTCCCATAACATTCTTAAGCACCTTCATCATACTCTGACAACCACTGTCTGTCTGGTTAATGCTCTGACCCTTCACCATACTGGGTTGTCCCTTGAGGGAAAGTCTTATCTTTTATCTCTACATTCCCACTTCCTCCACACAGTACCTGGTATACAGTAGGCATCCAATAAGTGCTTTTAAAATTAGTTACTGTGTACCTACTGGGGTTAGTTGTGTCCATTTATGTCCCCCTTAAAACTGACTTCAACCCTGGGAGGATATCTTCATGTTTTTTTCCTTCCCCTCTCAAAGCACAGTATATAGAGTGCTTAATTAAAAACAAGCGCTTAACAAACTTTCGCTGCTTTTTAAGTAAACCTTAACCCTCATTCCAACATCAAAAATCTACACTCTTGCTCCAGTTGAGTGAGAGGGGTGTCTTAAGAAAGAAACCATGAAGGAGTCACCCTCTCTTGAGAAACAAGGGGGATCACAGGCTCCCAAGGTGTGTGTATGCGCGCGCAGGGGGAAGGGGAGGTCGAGGCAGGGCTCATATATTCCTGGTGGAATACAGTGTATGGTGGGGCGGATGTCCAAATTTTTTAAGCAAGGTTTTCCCATTTCTCCCCATCTCTCCCTCGGTGCCATATGCTCTTTCTTTTATCTCGCCCAGTCTCACTTAGGTCACGTGCGACATCTGGATCTCTTTCCTTTAACCCCGATTCCAAACCCACTCCTCCCCGGCAAACTCCTCCCGGGCCCACGGCACGCATGCGCAGTAACTCCCGCAGGGGCCCGGTCAGTCTCGTGCCCCATGACCCTCTCTTAAAACACGCGCAGTCTCCTCTCTCTTCCCCCTCTGCTCGTTTCTTCCTTGCCTACCAGCCTCACCTGATGGGCTCGTGCTCTCTCCGTCCCCGATCCACTCGGGCTCCGGCGGCTGCTGCTTGGGCGCCTTCGGCATCGCGGTGGCAGTTACAGCTACTGTGGCGGCGCCCGGTGCTATTTCCGCTTCCGGCGGCGGGGAACCCCGATGGGGCTGGCTCTCCAAGCTGGCGCGGCCAACCCCGCCCCCGGGCTGCGCACGTGCGAGCTTCGCCGTCATCTCGGGGGCGTGGCCCTGGTTCAGTGGAGGCGTGGCCTGCAATGACGGAGCGGGGCCGGCGTCCGCTTGCTCCAGTCGCGTAAACACATGGCGTTTACGACTGTCTGGGAAGCCTGACGCCGTGACCTCCCGACGCCGCGAGACTCAAGGAATGAACATAATAATTTCCTACTAGTATGAAGGAGTTGAGGCATACTGTTTTTTTGTTTGTTTTGTTTTTTGTTTTTTTAAAAAGCATATTCTAGTTTCTATCTGTAACTCGTTTCTAGTTCTGCCACCGCGATGCCGAAGGCGCCCAAGCAGCAGCTGCCGGAGCCCGAGTGGATCGGGGACGGAGAGAACACGAGCCCATCAGGTGAGGCTGGTAGGCAAGGAAGACACGAGAGGAAGGGGAAGAGAGAGGAGACTGCGCGTGTTTTAGGAGAGGGTCATGGGGCGCGAGACTGACTGGGTCATGGGCAGAAAAGACAGTGCAGACCAATGGCTAAGGGAGAGGTCTGATCGGTCCAGTGTTGAAATGTGTCACAAAATCCCGAAGTGTACAATTGTAAACAGGGAACTGGAGCCCAACATGCAGAAGTCACGGTGCAGTGGAGCTTCGGTTCATTTATTTTTTTTGGTAACAGCTTTACTGAGATATAATTGACATACAATAAACTGTACACAAAATAAAATGGCACCCAAAATAAACTGCAAAGTATCACTTAAATAAGTTTTGACCTGCATAAACCCAGTAAACTATCACCACAATCAAGACTTTGGTTCACTTCTAACTCTACCACTTAATATGGGAGCTTGAGCAAGGTGCTCCTGTAGTTCTGTCAGCTCTCAAACCACTACAATCATGCTTTTGTTGCCACCATTGTCTGAATTCACACTTGCCAAAGTCAACAGATCTGGGGCCATCCTACTCACTCTCCCATCAATGTTTGATAGACTTGGTCGCTCCCTCCCTCCTTTGTTTTCTTCAGGGACACTACTCTCTATAGGTTTCCTTTGCATCTAATGGGCTTCTCCTGAAGTCTAAATGTTGAAGTGCCTCAGGGCTAAATCTTTGACACTCTCCTTAATCTAGACTTATCACCTATCACCTCCTGACTTTAAATACCATCTATAACCAATGAAGATTCCCAAACTTCTCTTGCTGGCCCCCAACTTCTGCCCCGAGCTCCAGGCTCATGAATTCAACTGCTTATGGGACATCTTCTCTGAGATCTTTAATAAATCTCTCTCATACGTACAAAATGGAGCTCTTGTTCTTACTCCTAAAGCCTGTCTCTTCCAGGCTTCCCCATCAAGAAATTGCACCACAGGTCATTCAGTTATTTGGGCCAAAACTGAAAGGTCATCATCCTCTTTCTCCATTCCTCCTCCCCTAATCAATCCATCAGCCAGCTAAGTCTGCCTCATTTTTTCATTCATCTGTTCAACAAATATATTTATTGAGTGTATAGTATGTGCCAGGCACTCTTCTACGCTCTTGGGATACTACTGAATAAAATAAAGATCTCTGATTAGGTTTCCAGCAGGGGAGATGATCCTATAGATAAAAGAAAATATGGATCAAGTTTAAAAGTATCAAGAGGACAGATTTTAGTCTTAAATGAGGCCTCAGTAAAGTGAAATTCAAGCAAATCATTAAAGAAGATTAGTTTTGGCCACATGGATTTCCAGGAGAAGGGCCTTTCTAGCATAAGAAACAGCTGGAGTAAAGCCCTGTGACAGGAGTGTTCGGACATACATGGGGAACAAACAGGAAGGAGGCAAGAGGGGCTGGAGTGGCACGAGTGAGCCAGAGTTGTGGGAAAGGTGAAAAGAGAAGTAAAGCAGGGTCTGGATTGGGAAAGGTCTTTTAAATTATCTTAAGGATTTTGGCTTCTTCTGTTGATTTAAATGGAAGTCACTGCAGAGTTCTGAGCAGAGTGATGTGATCCAACCTACATTTTAAAAGGATGACCTGGGCTGGGGCGCGGTGGCTCATGCCTGTAATGCCAGCACTTTGGAAGTCCTAGATGGGTGGATCACGAGGTCAGGAGATTGAGACCATCCTGGCTAACATGGTGAAACCCCATCTCTACTAAAAATACAAAAAAGTTAGCTGGGCGAGGTGGCGGGCGCCTGTAGTCCCAGCTACTGGGGAGGCTGAGGTAGGAGAATGGCATGAACCCAGGAGGCAGAGCTTGCAGTGAGCCGAGATCCCGCCACTGCACTCCAGGTTGGGCGACAGAGCGAGACTCCGTCTCAAAAAAAAAAAAATAAAATAAAATAAATAAAAGGATGACCTGGCCAGGTGCAGTGGCTCACACCTGTAATGCCAGTACTTTGGGAGGCTGAGGCAGGAGAATTGCCTGAGCCCAGGGGTTTGTGACCAACCCAGGCAACATAGCGAGACCCCTTGTCTCCGTATATAATACAATTTTTTAATTTTTATTTTATTTTATTTTTTTGAGACAGAGTCTTGCTCTGTTGCCCAGGCTGGAGTGCAGTAGCGTGATCTCGGCTCCCTGCAACCTCTGCCTCCTGGGTTCAAGCAATTCTCCTGCCTCAGTCTCCTGAGTAGCTGGGATTACAAGCGTGCGTCACCATGCCTGGCTCATTTTTGTATTTTTAGTAGAGACGGGGTTTCACCATGTTGGTCAGGCTGGTCTCGGACTCCTGACCTCGTGATCCGCCTGCCTCGGCCTCCCAAAGTGCTGGGATTAGAGGCGTGAGCCACCATGCCTGGCCTATAACATTTTTTAAATTGTTAAATAAAAAGGATGACTCTGGAGGCTGTGCTGAGAACAACCTGGGCGGGAGGTGGGAGGGGGCAGGCAGCAAAGAATGGGCAGAAATGACAGAAGCAGGGAGATCTATTAGGAGGTGATGGTGACTCAGACTAGGGTGACAGCAGTGGAGGTGTGAAAAGGGCTGGTTTCTGAATGTATTTTGGAAAAGAGCCAACAAGTTTTGTTAATGGATTGGAGGTCATGTTTGACAAATAGAATTAAGGATGACTCCAATATTTCTGGCCTGAGTTAACTAGAAAGATGTAATTGCCATCAACTGAGACGAAAACATAACCCAAATTTAACCACTTCTCTCCACCTCTACCCTGACCAAGCCATCGTCTCTTCTCCCTGGACCACTGCACTGCGCTGGCCTCCTAACTGGTCTGCCTGCTGTCATTCTCATTCTCTAGTCTATCCTTCACACCTACAGTCAGAGGTGGTTTTAAAATGTAAATCCATGGGCCAATCGCGGTGGCTCACGCCTGTAATCCCAGCACTTTGGGAGGCTGAGGCGGGCGGATCAAAAGGTCAGGAGTTCAAGACCAGGCTGGCCAACATGGCGAAACCCTGTGTCTACTAAAAATACAAAAATTAGCCAGGCGTGGTGGTGGGCGCCTGTAGTCCCAGCTACTTGGGAGGCTGAGGCAGGAGAATCACTTGAACCCGGGAGGTGGAGGTTGCAGTGAGCTGAGATCATGCCACTGCACTCCAACCTGGGTGATGGAGCAAGACTCCGTCTCAAAAAGAAAAAAAAAAAAAGTAAATCCATTTGTTCAAAGTATAAAAATATTTAAAAAAGTATAAAATCCAGAATAAAATCCAAATGCTTTACCATAGTTTATAGGGCTCTGTACAATATGCCCTCTGTTAAACATCTTGATCCCATCTCCCACAGTCTAGCCACACTGGGCTTTTTTTTTTTTTTTTGAACCAGGATCTTGGTCTGTCATTCAAGCTGGAGTGTAGTGGTATAATCATAGCTCACTGCAACCTCAAAGGATCCTCCCACCTCAGCCTCCAACTAGCTAGGACTACAGGCACACGCCACCAGGCCTGGGTACTTTTTAAACATTTTTGCAGACACAGGGTCTCACCATGTTGCCCAGGCTGGTCTCAAACTTCTGAGCTCAAGCAGTGCTCCTGCCTCAGCCTCTGAGAGTGCTGGGACTGCAGGCATGAACCACCACGCCTGGCCTGGCCTTCTATTTTTACTTCAAACACCCCAGAGTCATTCCTGCATCAAGGCCTTTGCCTTTGCTGTTCCCTGTGCCTGGAACGCACTTTCTCTGTGTGTTCATATGGTTTGTTCCCTCGTTTAATTTTCTCTCTATGTGTTACCTCCTCAAAGCAGCTCTCTCTTTGTATCAACCTGTTCTCTTCCACCTGTCACTCTCTAACCTCTTTTTTCACTTTATTTTCATTTGAAGCATTTACTATTACTTAAAATTATATTACCTATGTATATTGTCTATCATCCTCAAAGCAATGTAAGCTCCATATGGGCAGGGATTTTGTCCTTTTTATTGATGTAGCTCCAGCTCCTAAAACAGTGCTTGCCCTACAGTAGGCACTAAAGTGTTCACTGAAAGTATGCAAAGCTTGGCCAGGTGCGGTGGCTCATGCCTATAATCCCAGCACTTTGGGAGGCCGAGGCAGGTAGATCACCTGAGGTCAGGAGTTCGAGACCGGCCTGGCCAACATGGTGAAACCCCATCTCTACTAAAATACAAAAAATTAGCCGGGTGTGGTGGTGGGCACCTGTAATTCCAGCTACTCGGGAGGCTGAGGCAGGAGAATCGCTTGAACCACCCCCTCTCCCCCCCCAAAAAAGTATGTGAAGCTTAAATAAGACAAAGACAATGTCTATAAAGAGCTTAGCAGGGTACCTGGCACTGAGCAAGCAGCCAGGTGACGCCACACTCTGAGATCTCTCCCTGCCTCTCCGTCATCCCTCCTTAGTCTCCTTGTCTGGCTTATCCTTGTCCTTCTTCACTTAGCAATTCAATGTCAGAGTTCCTCAAGGCTAAGTTCTGGGCCCTTCATCTACAGATTCCTCAGAGAGGTCTATCCTAGCCACCATGTCTTTTTTTTTTTTGGATATGGAGTCTCGCTCTGTTGCCCAGGGTGGAGTACAATGGTGCAATCTCGGCTAACTGCAACCTCTGCTTCCTGGGTTCAAGCCATTCTCCTGCCTCAGCCTCCCAAGTAGCTGGGATTATTTATAAATGCCCACCACCACGCCTCGCTAGTTGTTGTTATTTTAGTAGAGACAGGGTTTCACCATGTTGGCCAGGCTGGTCTCGAATTCCTGACCTCAGGCGATCCACCCGCCTCAGCCTCCCAGAGTACTGGGATTACAGGCGTGACCTACCGCGCCCGGCCACCATGTCTTGAGTAGCTCCCCAACTACTGTTTCTATTCAGTACCCCATTTATTTCCTTCATATGATTCATCTCAACCTGTAATTATATGTTTGCATACTTTTAAGAAAAACAGTCCCTGAGAATTGGGAACTGGCCTGACAATAACTGGCAGGCTTTGGTGTTGCTGGGAGCTGGCCTGTTGCCCATAGTTAGGCCATGGTACTCTTGTTGAACATAAACTATCTCACAGAAAATCAGTGTCAAACAAGGTCATCCTGTGTTTGTGATGAAATTAGACAAACTTCAAAATCTTGTCTAAGCACAAAAACACCACACAGTTCCCTGTCAGCTAAAATGTGTTGGCTTTTTTACCTTACAGCTTTAGCCATATTTCATTTCTCCCTCCTTCTAGATAAGATTAAGAAGTAGTCATCTTTCTGACAGCATCTAAGCCAGAACAATTTCCTGTTTCTTTTGAAATCACCAAACACAAACCCTAATCCTGTCATTCCTAGCCCCCTTTTAGGGAGATAACCTCTGTAGAATTAATAAACTCAACTTAAATGCTTGCCCATAAGTTGAGGAGTTATAAGTTAACTTTTAAGAAGTTTCTTCCGGCTGGGCGTGGTGGCTCACACCTGTAATCCCAGCACTTTGGGAGGCCGAGGCAAGCAGATCACCAGGTCAGGAGATCGAGACCATCCTGGCTAACACGGTGAAACCCCATCTCTACTAAAAACACAAAAAATTAGCTGGGCATGGTGGTGGGCGCCTGTAGTCCCAGCTACTCGGGAGGCTGAGGCAGGAGAATGGCGTGAACCTGGGAGGCGGAGCTTGCAGTGAGCCAAGATCATGCCACTGCACTCCAGCCTGGGCGACAGAGCTGAGACTCCGTCTCAAAAAAAAAAAAAAAAAAAAAAAGAAGTTTCTTCCCAGACAACTGGTGTTCTCAGCCCTTCCTCCATCCTGAGGCTTTGAACATGGATGAGGAAGCCAGAGCTTCACTTTGGACAGTGAATAGAAGCTTGTGGTTGTGAATCTGAAAGTTGGGGGTTGAGGTTCTGAATACTCAGGGACCTTGTAGTGGTGGCATTGTCACACATCTTGGATTGTTGATTGTCCACCTCTTGACCTGTGAGAGAAATAAACTTCTATCTTTTTAAAAATTATTTATTTTTATTTTTATTTTTTATTTATTTATTTTTGAGATGGAGTCTTGCGCTGTCGCCCATGCTGGAGTGCAGTGGTGCGATCTCGGCTCACTGCAAGCTCCGCCTCCTGGGTTCACGCCATTCTCCTGCGTCAGCCTCCCGAGTAGCTGGGACTACAGACGCCGGCCACCACGCCTGGCTAATTTTTTTTCTATTTTTAGTAGAGATGGGGTTTCACCATGTTAGCCAGGATGGTCTTGATCTCCTGACCTCGTGATCCACCCACCTTGGCCTCCCAAAGTGCTGGGATTACAGGCGTGAGCCACCGCGCCCAGCCATAAACTTCTATCTTAAGACTTCTTTTTAAATGGCAGTTACATAAGCCAGAACTACCTGGAGAAATCTGATACTTTTATTTTGACCTGTAATTTTCAAATGTCTACTTTTCTCCAACTCTACTACCCAAGTCTATGTCACCATCATGGCTCACTTGTACTACTGAAGTAGCCAGTAGCCTTCTAATTAACTTCCAGGTCCAAGGTGGGCCCTCTCCATACAAGCTGATTTTTTTTGAAAAGCCAGCCTAAGCCATGATACTCCTGTCTAAAATTCTTCAAAGGCTTCTGTTCTAAGAAAAGAGCCAAATCTTCATGTTTTCCAAGGCCCTGAGTGGTCTAACTCCTCTTTCTTCTGCATCATCTCCCACTGTCCCTAGGTTTCTTAGCTCCTCTTCCCCTAGGTCTTTTAGCGAAGACCTTTGCCTTGACTTCCCTCTCCCACCCCACCTCCTGTTTATCCTTTGGAGCTTGTCTCAGTTGCATCTCCTACCCTGACTCCCTTTATTACACAACTCTCTTTCACCCTCTTTTCTTCCCTGTCTTCTTCCCAGCACTTTTGACAGGTTTAACTTTACATGCTATTTGTGATTATGAGAAACCTGTCTTCCCTGTACATTTTAAATCCATTGGCTTTGGCTGTCAGTTATCTCTAGTGCTTGGTATATTGCCTGGCCCACAGGCATTCTGCAAATTGCTGCTGAAAGACTCCTTCATCATTACCACTCCATAAACACAAACTCTGCAAAGTAAAATATTTAAAAATAACTCCACGGACACCTGGCCTTTCCTTTTTCTTACAAAACTTTGCCCTTGAACATAAGGCAGCTTGTTCTGGTTGATGCCTACAGGCTAATGGAACCTCCATTGGTTTTTTTCAGCCTGGAAGAACCTTAAGCTTTGTCATTCCCCATCACTAGTGTGTATGAACTAAAGAATAAGCTGACTCCACCAGGTGAGAACAGCTTCATCTGCAACTCCAGAGATGACTAGAACACAGGGATTAAATAAAATGCTGGTTTCCACTGCATTTATTACTAATATAAAAAAAGTTAAAAAGAAAAAAAAAAAAAAAACCTCATTCTCAGTTCTCCAACAGCTCTCACCCCTCCCTCTTGCCAATACAACTCCTGACCCATTTCCTCAGGGCCAGTTCAAAACTGAACCTGTTCACTGCTGTTTTCACAGAAAACAACCAGTGCCAGGGATGTAGGGGAAGAGGATTGGAAGAGGGCAACAGTACTGTCCAGCTTCTACCCAAAGATAGGCAAGGTGGAGATTCACAGAATTCAAATGAATGGACTGGTGGCCTCACAATGACATAGTCTAATTAAAATGGGCTGGAAGGGATCTAGGTAGGATAAAGCCATTGGAGGCTTTATAAGACATGTCATGGGTCTGTGTCAGACTCAGAATAACCAACAGGAGAAGAATGGGGAGGGCCAGGGAGGCAGTCTGATGGAAAGTTCACAATTCTCCCATGTTGGGAAGTGGGAAAGTCCAGAGGGCACCAAGCGCCTCACTCATTTTGGCAGGAAAACTTATTCTAGTGCTGGGAAGTCACAAAAATGCCACGGACACTGAGAAAGGCTACAAGGGGATGCACAGTTTCACAAAGCACGGTGATCATAGATAGACCATAGCGGTGGGGATCATGCTACTGACAGAGAAACTATGAAATCCAAAGGCAGGGAGAGTGGCCTTTTAGGAAGTAACTCTGCACCAGTCACCCAAACTTGACCCCAGGTTAGACAACCTGGCTGAGTTTCACAAGCAGCTGACAACATTGGGGGTAGGGAATGTCACATAAAAAGGACTTAAAACAAGCAGCTAAAAGAAGGGAATGGTAGGAAACCGCTCCAGGGCTCTCAGGAATTGAGGGCAATACTGGGGAACAGGTGGACAGATGCACAAGAAACAGCACCAAAGAGGTTTCCTGTTCAGCAGTCATTTGATGACGGGAAAGAAGATCCAGGAGGCAACTGAAAGGAAGCAAAGATGGGTCCCAAAGGCGAGTCTCTACAGGCTGGATCAGAAGAAAGCGCGTATGCCGCGCACCAGTGATGCAACACCACTCTGGACCCCACACGGGGGAAGTGGTGGATGGGATGGGTGTGTCACTGACTGAGGGTGTTAGAAGAGCCTCACAGTAGCCATCATAGGGCTACAGAGAAATAAATGGCCGCTAGGTCACAGAGAGCTCCTTCCAGCCTGGATGGGAAGGCACAGTCTCACAGAGGAGGTCCATTGACGCCTGGATGGTAGAAGGCACAGAGGTCCTCATATCGACAGTGGCCCTTTTTGGCAAAATGTCGGCAGACAGGGCGGTCGGATTTGTCTGTGAACAAGTGAAAATGGAACAGTTAAAAATTTGAGCAACAAAGAAAACAAATACAATGAAACGCAGAGACAGAAGGAGAACTGATTTTCTACCCCCTACCATTTCCAGGTATTTTGGAATGGTAGTCTTTCTCCTGGGAGAAATAACATTGAGGTCTACTTCTGCTTCAAAAGCAAAAAGGAAAGCCCAGAGAAGATTGTGAATGATCTTCTGAAAATTAGGTCACTCTGGGAGTAATGGGCATAACAAAATGGACCTCACCTTCCATAACCTGGGGGTCATCCTTGGGCGGGCAGGTATTCTTGATAAGAGACCAGCTTTTGAGCCTTCGAGGGTTTCTCTGTTCCTTGTGAAAGCTTCCCCTGGTGGGACCCCCATGGCCTGGCCCCGGAAAAGGAGGTTCTGCATTGACTCCCCACCAACCACGACCATATGGGCTAGACCTGGGGCCAAGCCCTCTCCGAATTGGGCCTCTACCCCAAGGAGGAGGTGGGAGACTCAGCAGTGGTGGAATCAGTGGTCCCCTTGATCCTGGAGGACCTCTGTGAAGAGCTGGAGAGAGAGAGAGAGAGAGACACAGAAAGGTGTCTAATGGGCAGCTGAATCCTGATAAACCGTGATTAAAAAAATTTTTTTTATTGAAGAACAGCATACATAAAGACACACCAGTTTTAAGTGCACAACCCAGTTCTCACAAAGTAGACACACTTGAGTTTCCACCACCAGGTGAAGAGATAAAGCCTTATTAGCACCTCAAAAGATCCTCCCCTTGTGCCCCTTTTCCCATTACCCACCCTCCTCCCCAAAGGTAACCACTATCCTGACACCATAGGTTAGTTTTTGCCTGTTTTTGAACTTCACAAAAATGGAATCATACAGTCTGCATTCTTTTATGTCTGGCTCCTTTCGCTCAACATCATGTTTGTGAGATTCATCCAGGTTGCCTGTAGCAGCAGTTCATTCATTTTCGTTGCAGTGTAGTCCCATTGCATGCATACACAACAATTTATTTATCCATTCTACTGATGATGGACATGTGGGTGGTATCCAGTTTGGGGCTATAACGAGAAATGCCACTATAAACATTTTTATACATGTTGTTACACATACGTATGCATTTCTGTTGAATATATACGTAGTAGAGGTATTACTGGCTTATAAAGTATATGTTATGCTCAAGTTTCATACATAATGCCAAACTTTTTTTTCACAGTGGTTATACCAATTTGCACTCTCACCAGCAGTTGTCCTATAGCCTTGACAACACTTGGAATTGTTAGGTTTTTAAATTTTGCCATGGTGAGTGTGAAAAGTGGTGGTTATTTTTTTGTTTGGTTATTATTATTTATTTAATGAGAGATTGGGTCTTGCCACACTGCCCAGGCTGGTCTTGAACTCTTGGGCTCAAGTGATCCTCCCACCTTGGTCTCCTAAAGTGCTGGGATTACAGGCATGAATCATCATGCCTTGTTTTGTTCGGTTTTTATTGTGGTAAAAAACACATAAAATTTACCATCTTAACTATTTTTAAGTGTACAGTTCAGTAGTGTTACATATATTCATATTGATGTGAAACAGATCTCCAAGTTTTTGTTTGTTTTTTGAGATGGAGTCTCGCTCTGTCGCCCAGGCTGGAGTGCAGTGGCGCGATCTTGGCTCACTGCAACCTCTGCCTCCTGGGTTCAAGTGATTCTCCTGCCTCAGCCTCCCAAGTAGCTGGGATTACAGGCGCCCACCACCACGCCTGGCTAATTTTTGTATTTTTAGTAGAGATGGAGTTTTACCATATTGGCCAGGCTGGTCTTGAATTCCTGATCTCATGATCCGCCCGACTTGGCCTCCCAAAGTGCTGGGATTACAGGCACGAGCCACCATGCCCGACCTCCAAAAGTTTTTTATCTTGCAAAACTGAAACTCTGTACCCATTAAACAAAACTCCCCTTCCTCCAGCTTCCTTCCCCCAGCCTCTGGTAACCATCATTCTACTGTTTCTTTGAAGTTGACTTTATTTTTATTTTTTGTTTTGACAATCTTGCTCTGTCATCCAGGCTGGAGTGCAGTGGCGTGATCTCGACTCACTGCAACCTCTGCCTCCCAGGTTCAAGCAATTCTCATGCCTCAGCTACCCGAGTAGCTGGGATTACAGGTGTGCACCACCATGCCCAGCTAATTTTTCTATTTTTAGTAGAGACAGGGTTTTGCCATATTGGCCAGGCTGTTCTCGAACTCCTGACCTCAAGTGATCTGCCTGCCTTGGCCTCCCAAAGTGCTGGGATTACAGGCGTGAAGCACCATGCCCAGCCCCTGAATTTGACTTTAGACACCTCAGATAAGTGGAATAATACACTATGTCTTTACTTAACATAAAGTCCTCAAAGTTCATCCATGTTGTAGTATGTGACAGCACTTTCTTCCTTCATAAGGCTGAATAATATTCCATTGTATGTACACGCCACATTTATCCTTCCATCAGTGGACATGTGGGTTGCTTCCACCTCTTTGTTATTGTGAATACTGCTGCTATGAACATGAGTCTGCAAATATCTCAAGACCCTGCTTTCCATTTTTTTTTTTTTGATATATACCTGGAAGCAGGAGTTCTGGGGTAATTCTATTTTTAATTTTTTTGTCATCTGGTAGTTCTATTTTTAATTAAGAGGAACCTCTTCATATTGTTTTCTATAGTAGTTTCACCATTTTATAATCCCAGCAGCAGTACACAAGAGTTCTAATTTCAAAGTGGTATATTTTTATCTTGCATTTACTTGACAATTAATGATATTGAGTACTTGTTCATTTAGACCTTTAGTTCATTTAGATCTCCATTTTAATAAGGTGTCCTGTGTTTTTGTCAATTTTTCAAATGGCTTGTCTGGAAGAGTTCTTTATATATTATAGATACAGGATCTTTATTTGTTATATTTATTGCAAATATCTTCTATTGTATGGCTTCCTGTTAATTTCTTAATGGTATTATTTGGCAAGTTTGTATTTTGTTTTTTCTTTTTTTTGAGACAGTCTCACTCTGTCCCCCAGGCTGGAGTGCAGTGGTGCAATCTCAGCTCACTGCAACCTCCGCCTTCCAGGTTCAAGCGATTCTCCTGTCTCAGCCTCCTCAGTAGCTGGGATTACAGGCACACACCACCATGCCCGGCTAATTTTTGTATTTTTAGTAGAGACAGGGGTTTCACCATGTTGGTCAGGCTGGTCTTGAACTGCTGACCTCGTGATTCGCCCGCCTCGGCCTCCCAAAGTGCTGGGATTACAGGCGTGAGCCACTGTACCCAGCCGCAAATTTATATTTTCTAACGGAGTTCAATTTATCAATCTTTCCTTTATGGTTAGTGTGTATACGTGCATTTCTTGTCTGTTTAAGAACTCTTAGCTACTCTTAGAAAATACATTTACTTTCTAGAATAATTATTCTCTTACCTTTTATACTTAGATCTACAGTCCATTTGAAATAGATCTTTGTATATGATTATGAGTGCAAGGTGAAATTCCATTTTTTTCACATGAATATCCAATTGATCCAATATCATTTATTGAAAAGACCAACTTTTCAGTTCCATCTTCATCATAAATGAAGTGTCCACACATGTATGGGCCTGTTATTGGACTCTTCGGGACATAAGTCCTATTGACTTATGTCTATCATTGTTTCCAAACTGCATCGTTGTAACTATTGTAGCTTTATAGTAAGTCTTTTTTTCTTCTTGTATTTAGAGACAGGATCTCACTATGTTGCCCAGAGTGGCCTCAAAAACTCCTGGGCTCAAAGGATCCTCGCACCTCAGCCTCCTGAGTAACTGGGACTACAGGCGTGTGCCACCATGCCCAGCTTACAAATCTTGATATTCATAGTAAGCCCTCCCACTTCAAGATTGTCTTGATAGTCGCCTTGATATTTTGCATTTCCCTATAATAATGTGTATTTCCACAAAAACATTATGGGTGTTCTGACTTGGAATGCATGAAATCTGTTTATCAATTTGGGAAGAAGTGACATTTTTACAACATTGAGTTTTTAAATCAGCAAATATACAACTTCTCTCCATTCATTTAGGGATGGAATCCCTGATCTTTTATTTTTAAGTCCTTCCTGGGTTTTATCCCCTCCCTTGCTGTCTTCTCTACGACCTAATACAAGGATCAGGGCCCCTTCCTCCTCACCTGACTTAGGGTCGCCAGGTTTTCCATTGGCCATGGGGGGAGGGCCCAGAAGGCTGGGTGGTCCTAAGAGCAGACATGAAAATATGGTCATCAGAATGGATTAAAGGACTGATGATTCTGTTCTTAGGTGTTTTTCTTGTATTACTTATTTCTTAATTCAACCAGTAAAGTCAGGTATATTTTCAGCAGTCTTGGGAGTTCTCACCCCATCTATCTGCCCTTTTTTCTGCAAAGCTGTTTCAGGGTTTGCAAAAAGTAGATATTCAATCAAAGGGGATAATGCAGGAAAAGATACTGACAACTTTTTTTCTTCACCGTACCGTCGCTATCCAAAACAACCTAAGTGTCTCCAGACATGAACCAATCCCTCACCTTAACTGCTGGCCAGAGGACTAGTTTAGAGAAAGCTGCACCTGTACCTTTTCAGTCAAAGTCTGGATACAAACTGTCATCCCAGTCATCGCAATCTGCAACATCTCTACTACCCCTTTCCCCTACTGTTCTGCGGCTGCGCAAAAGAGCTCTTTATTCTCTCCACCCCCGCCTTCTCCAGAAAGGTCTGGGGCCGTATTGAGGTTGATGGTTCCAGTAAGAGAACTCCTGGTTCAAGGCTCCATTTGGGAGAGCCCCACTTCCATCCCTCCCCAGCGCGTGCGCCCTTCCTCCTTCCGTTACAGCCCCCTCCTTCGCACCTTATTAGCCCCTAGCCCCTTGCCCGGACGGGCTTGACAGGCATGTGCACATCCCTCCCAGACCCCTCACCGATGGGACTCCCATCCTCCTCATCTCCAGTCTCTTCCCGCTCGGGCAGCGGGGGCTGCTGCTGTGTCGGTGGCTGGTGATGATTCTGCTTCTTTCGTTTCGGCATCGTGTCTGCGGCAATGGCTGCAGCGGGATTTGGAGGGTAGTGAGGAAGGGGCACGCGGGGATTCTGTTTCCGCTTCCGGGGGGTCGGTGGGCAGCAATGCTGAGGCTCCCGCCATTCCACTTCCGGAAGGTTGCGGAGAACATCTGCGGCGGCCGCATTCCGGAGCCAACTGCCTCCCTCCGTCTCTGCCAGGCATGGCGGCAACCTCACACCTTCCCTTTGCTGCGTTTCTATAAATGCTTTGAAAAAATTACTCTTTTCTTCCCTCGCTGGAAAACACCACAACCAGCTCCTCAGAGTGTGTCACAGAGTCAACAGGCTCTCGGGCCAGAGGGCCTGAGAAGAGGACTGTCGCACCGTAAGATCGCCACATCCGGTCCTCGGTTACTATGGTAACAGCTGCAGGCACAACTTCGTGCCCTTTGACCTCCCCCCAAAAGTCCTTGTCCCGCTTGGGTTTCCCTTCTCGCCCGCTTTTGCACTTATGATCTGTAAACCTGCTCCTTATCATCGTTCCCACAAGGAATTTGGGTCCCAACAGGTCGGCACCCAGGACTCTCAGACCGCCGCCCTCCCCTAAAGACCTCTGACCGTGCCCCCGGTGTAGTCCAGCAACCTGGACGCAGTCTCGGCTTTCCACTAAGGTCAAGCCCGGGGCTTTGTAGTATAGCCTCAGCGTGTCCACGCCCCCTCTCCCCTAGGTAGTAGGCCCCGCCCTCCGCTCCGCCGCCCCCTCCAGGTGAGTGGTAGGTTCTCCCGGGAGCGCAAGGTAGTGATGACACGCGCCCCCCCTCCTCCGAACGCGAGTTGGTAGCGTCCGTGACGGAGTTAGCCTGGTCCTCCCACGCGCGCCTCCTTCCTCGCCGCCGGGGCGCCCTCTCGGTGCCACTGGCTCTCACGTGCCAGTAGCCCACCCCGCATCATCCTCTCGCCTCGCTCCTGGAGGGAAGTGACTATATCTCCCCCGTCCGCCTTCCATCGCCGCCGCGGCGGTAATTCTGTCGGGCCCGCCCGCTGACGTCACCTGCTAGCCCCGCCTCCTCTAGGGTCCCGGGCCCCTGCGGCGGGGGCTGCCCCGGGGGGCAGTCAGTTGAGGCGGCGGGAGCTCGGCGGAGGGCGGGCCAGGTGACTGGTCCGGGCCATGCCGAGGAAGAAGCCATTCAGCGTGAAGCAGAAGAAGAAGCAGTTGCAGGACAAACGGGAGCGGAAGAGAGGTCAGTGCGGGAGCGGGAGGAGGGGGCGGGGCTCGGGCTTCCGCACATCTGGAAGGAGGGGTGTGCCCGCTGCACCTCTGGGGATCGTGGGAGGGGGTCGTGGGACCGCGTCAACCCTCGCGGCCTATCGCGGAGGGGATCCCCCACCCCCCCTACATCTGGAAGGGGTGGGGAAGGATGGAGAGTTGGGGGAGGGGAATCCCTCCAGCTAGCACGGGGCGCCGTCCCCACTGCTCCCTGAAGGAGTGACTCCCCCCACGCACATCCGGGAGGGTCCCAAATAGGGTGTCTGGGAGGACTGAACATCGGAAGAAGTTGAGTGGGATGAAAGGGAGTCAGGCCGATGGGGGAGAGGGTCTTATGGCCCCTGAGAGCTGGCCAGCACTGGCGTCACCGGCCCCTCCCCGCAGGGCTTCAAGATGGGCTGCGCTCCAGTTCCAACAGCCGCAGCGGGAGCCGGGAGCGGCGAGAGGAACAGACCGACACCTCGGACGGGGAGTCTGTGACCCATCATATCCGCAGGCTTAACCAGCAGCCTTCTCAGGGGCTGGGTCCACGAGGCTACGACCCAAATCGGTGAGGGTGGGAGGGGGCGCTGGTCCCGGCTTTCCCGCCTACCCGGAAGTCAGAGCTTTGGGGGAAAGCGGGCTGCTACTGGTGAAGACGGTGGGCCTGGGATGCCACAGTTCTCCGCTAGCCACTCGGCTCCCCACAGCGGGCCACAGTCTTCCTTTCCAGAGGGGCTGGAGAGAGTTGGGCTTTTAGAAGGAGAAGGCTGAGTATTGCCTGAAAGAAGGACTTGGGGGAAGTCTGACTTGAGAGAGGAGACTTGAACGACTCTGGAGAGAATGGTTTGCGAAGTTGATTGTACAAGAGGGGAGAAAATAGGAGTTTGTGGCCACAGGATTGCTCTGGATGTCTCGGTCCCTGTTCCCTTAGATACCGACTGCATTTTGAGAGAGACAGCAGGGAGGAGGTAGAGAGGAGAAAGAGAGCAGCCCGGGAGCAAGTTCTACAGCCGGTCAGTGCTGAGTTGTTGGAGCTGGACATCCGGGAGGTGTATCAGCCTGGCTCAGGTGAGTGAGAGCAAGACAGGCATTGGGCTGGGGAAGGAGTTTGGAAAGGTAAAAGCCGACTGTGAGGAAGGAGGGGTCTGGGATGTACTCTTGAATCCTGAAGATTTCCTCACACTTGGACTTTTTCCTGAATTCCCAGTTCTGGACTTTCCTCGACGTCCTCCTTGGAGCTATGAGATGTCCAAGGAGCAACTAATGAGCCAAGAGGAACGGAGCTTCCAAGACTATCTTGGGAAGATTCATGGGGCTTACTCCTCTGAGAAACTCAGCTACTTTGAGCACAATCTGGAGGTGACAGTGTACTCTAGGGACAGGAGTGGGGCATAGTGACCTATGGTCAAATTGGTTTGGGATCAGGCTGGAGAGGGACTCTGTTTTCAGTTTCTCTTCCTGATCCTGTCTTTTTAGACATGGAGGCAGCTGTGGCGGGTGTTAGAGATGTCTGACATCGTCCTGCTTATCACTGATATCCGACATCCAGTGAGTACTAGGGATAAGGGTGGGCAAGGAGGAGGGAGAAAGGTTTTTCAGGGGCAAAGGTCAGAGGCAAGAGTTGGGAGACAGAGAGGTATCTATCTTCCTGTCTTTCTAATCTCTACCTAGTGCTGATGTCCGCAGTTAGGAACTCAGTTTTTTATTCTCTTATAGCCTGTCATTCCTCCCTTGGCCAGCTCACTCTTCTCTTCAAAACAGCCATGTCCTGTCCTTTAGCTCATCACAGACCAATAGAAAATCCAAGTGTTGGAGCTCCAGGGATTCTATGAATGCAGCTGGGGACTTCCTCCTGCCCAGCCCAAAGATGCCCTTTCTTCCTTATCTCATTTCTCTAGCACTGCCACATCAGTTGCTACAGAACCCACCTGGAATGCTAGAGTAGTAGTTAAGGCTGTAGACTGCTGCTGGACTGCCCTGTGTGAATCCTAGCTCTGCAACTTCACTCTTGTCCTCCAGTGGGAGAAAGGGAGGTCTGTGAGGACCATTTAGGTTGGAGGTCCTTAATAATATGTACACACACATACTCACACGTACATCATGTGCACATCAATATACACAGGCATGTTTGCACACATGTTCACAGTCACATTAACACACAAACATGCACACATGTGCACGTACTTGCATGCATGCATATATGCACGTGTACACACTTACATAGTTGTGCACACACAAAAAAGCAGACTAATTTCTACCCTAACCCCCATCCCTGTTTCCGATCCCAGCCTTTACCTCAGTGTGCTAAGTGATGCTGTTTCCTTGTCTTGTTTTGGGTTCATTTCCATCTCTAATCATGACCTATAGGAAGCCCTCTGAGACTCAGAAGTATTACTAACCCCTGTTTTGTCTTTGTTTTTCAGTTTGTCTGGTTTATAGTTTTTAGCCCAGAGTCTGCTACCACCAGGGCCTTGTCTCTGAGCTACACCTGCTGAGTGGGGAGCTGGAGGCAGAGAACTCTGGGTTGACTTTCACTGCTCCATCCTCTTATCAACTCTGTCCTAGGTTGTGAATTTCCCGCCAGCACTTTATGAGTATGTGACTGGAGAACTTGGACTGGCCCTGGTGCTGGTTTTGAACAAGGTGGATCTGGCCCCGCCAGCTCTTGTGGTTGCCTGGAAGCATTATTTCCATCAACACTATCCCCAGCTCCACGTCGTCCTTTTCACCTCTTTTCCTCGGGACCCCCGCACCCCACAGGACCCTAGTAGTGGTGAGTGGGCAATGAGAGAGGGCAACTTGGGAGAGGTGAGTTGGCAGGGGACAAAGGGGAGAACAGAGAGGCTTATTGACAAGGGGGCACCTGGTCTTGGGCCTAAGGGTGGTGGGAGAGATGAGAGGCCTAAGCCCGTGTGCCCATCCTTTTGTGCCCTCTGATCTCAGTCTTGAAGAAGAGTCGGAGGCGGGGGAGAGGATGGACTCGGGCCCTGGGGCCAGAGCAGTTGCTGAGAGCCTGTGAAGCCATCACTGTGGGGAAAGGTATGTGGCCCTTAGAGGAGGGCTGTAGGAGGACATGGGGGAGACCAAAGATGCAGAATCATTTTGCTCACCTTTCCTGAAGCCAACCCCTCTATGGTGGATATGTGCAAGAGGCCAGGGGAAGGGACAGAATAAGGAGCAGACTGACTTGGTGGGACGAGAGGCAGCAGGTAGTCAGGAGCCTCAGTGGCTTGCTGCCTTTAGCCTTCCCAGTACTTTTCAGAAGCTCAGAGAAACGTGCGTGATTCCAGGGAGGGTAGGGTCAAATGACTTTTGGGAGATTCTCTGACCTGCTCTTATTTAGGTTGGCACTGTACAACTCCAGAGGGTGCCAGTTACATAATCTGTGCAGGGCACAGTATGTGCCATCATGCACAGCAGCCCTGGGGAGAACCTCTTTAATCTTCTCCTTCTTTGAGCAGTGGACTTGAGCAGCTGGCGGGAGAAGATTGCTCGGGATGTGGCTGGGGCCACCTGGGGTAATGGCTCTGGGGAGGAGGAGGAAGAGGAGGATGGCCCAGCAGTCCTGGTGGAGCAGCAGACTGATTCAGCAATGGAGCCAACTGGCCCAACCCAAGAGCGCTACAAGGATGGGGTGGTGACCATCGGCTGTGTGGGTAAGGAAGTGGCAGCTTGTGCGTGGTGGCCTCCAAGGAGGTACAGAGTTTTCATATTCGGAGAAGAGAGAGGGCGATCAGGTCTCATTAGGCCCCAGGGTGTCTGAGGGGTGATCTCTGCCAGTGGCGGTGGGCAAGGCAGAAGAGGCGTCTGCTGCAGTGGAAGGATCATGACAGCCTGAGTTAAATTCCACCTCTTCTCAGCTGTGAGGTCTTGAGTAAGTGATTTTGCTACTCTGAGTCTTAGTTACTTTGATTTTAAAAATAAGGACATTGATACCTGAGTAAAAGAATGGATGACGGCCATGTGTGAGGGCTCATGCCTATATAGTCCCAGCGCTTTGGGAGGCTGAGGTGGGAGGATTGCTTGAGACCAGGAGCTCAAGACTAGTCTGGGCAACATAGTGAAACCCCATCTTTACAAAAGATAAAGAAAACTAGCCAAGTGTGGTGGTATGTGCCTGTAGTCTCTGCTACTTCAGAGGCTGAGGCAGGAGGATCACTTGAGCCCAAGAGTTCAAGGCTGCAGTGAGCTATGATTGTGCCACTGCACTCCAGCCTGGCTGATAGAGACCCTGTCTTTAAAAAAAAAGAATGGATGTGAGGAATGATGGGAATAGTGTTAAGAGAGTGTAAGAATGCCTGACAAATAGTGATAACAATAATAACAATTATTATTGTTAAAACTCAGTATTTATATGGTGCTTACTATGTAACAGGCACTGTTTTAAGTGGTTTATATAAACCATTTGAATTGTAGTAATTAGTCTGTAGTACAGTGATTATCAAATCATAGTAGGAGCTCAGCAAGAATTAGTATTCTTCTAGGTTTTAACCCTTTAAGTTTGTTGCCAAGGAGAATCTCCTCTTAAGGGCTTTGTCTCAGCTCACAGTGGAGGAAAAAGGAATGTATGATTAGGACCCAGGGCCCGTCTTCATTTAGGGTGGGAGAGGTAAGAAGAGACCTTGGACAAGTTATGGTATCTGAGGTGATATTGGAACCAAAAAGGGCCCAACCCAGAATAAATTTGGGAGTGTGGAGTAGGTAGTTGGGTTCCTTGGAAGTGCCCTGACTTATCTCTGTGTCCTTTTTGTCTTTGGAAGAACCTGCCTTACTGCTGAGTGATTGCTCCTCTTTCCAGTCATTTCACCCGGCTGTCCCTTCCCTGACTTCTGATCCTAGTCTCCCTGTCACAAGGAGCCTCTGTTCCCTCTCTTAGCAGCCTCTGCTCTAGCTGATCTCTATTCCAGGTGGTGTGAGAGGGAGAGTGTTTGCTGTGGCACAGGCACCCCTGAGTTTGGATTTCCCTCCAGCTCTCATTCATTTACCCATTCAACAAATATGTACTGAACACTTAACCAGGTGCCAGATATTCTAGGGATGGGACATACTGCTGTGGAAATGGCAAAAAGGTCTGTAGATTCATGGAGCTTATTTTCTTGTGAGTAAATAGATTTTGTGATCCGAAATCATGTAGGGGCAGTGAAGGCAATAAAGCAATGAAAGGGGATAGAGAGTGACTGAGAGGAGAGGTGCTCAGGGAAAACCTCCCTGAGGAGAGAACTGGATGATGAGATGAAGTGAGCCATTCAGAACTGTGGGGAAAGGGTCTTGAGGAGGGAACGGGCTTGGAGATTCTAGGACCAGCAAGAGTGCCCAGGGGATTGGAGTATGGGAGCCAGGATAAAGTACTGGGGATGAGGTCAGCAAGATCACCAGGGCCCACATCATGTAGAGCCCTGAGGCTGTGACAGCCATTTTGGATTTTATTCCAAGTCTCATGAGAAGCCAAGGGTAGGTTTTGAACAGGGGAATGATAGGATCTGATTTTGTTTCTTATAAGTTTACCTCCTGAGTAGAGAATAAATGATGGGGGGTGGGCAAGAAAGGGAGCAGAGAGAGCAGTTGAGGCTATTTCAGTAATCTAGGAGAGAAATAAGAGTTGCTTAGAGTAGGATGCTGGAGCTGGAGGTGGTGAGACAGGGCCGGAAGCATGATATATTTTGAAGGTAGAGAAAATGAGATCGCTGATGGCTTGCAGTTGGCACGTGAAGGAAAGTGAGGATAAAGAAGGACTTCCAGGTTTTTGTCTTGAGCAACTGGAAATACTGAGATGGGAAGACTGGGGGAGAAGCAGATTTGAAGGCTTTGGGGAGGAGAGGGGAATCAGAAATGAAATTTCAGATTCTTTTTAAATATCCCTAGTGGAGATGTTGAATAGGCAGTGGGTAAGTAGTCAGCAGCTTAGGGGAGAGAAGAGGACGGAAATTTGAATTTGGGAAAGATTTAAATTTGGGGAACCATTGATGGATATAAGTGGTATTTAAAGCCACAGGATTAGGCTGGGCACAGTGGCTCATGCCTATAATCCCAGCCCTTTGGGAGGCTGAGGCAGGTGGATCACTTGAGGCCAGGAGTTTGAGACCAGCCTGGCCAACATGGTGAAACCCTGTCTCTACCAAAAAATACAGAAAATTAGCCGTGTGTGGTGGTGCGTGCCTGTAGTCCCAGATACTCAGGAGGGTGAGGCAGGAGAATTGCTTGAATCCTGGAGGCAGAGGTTACGGTGAGCCAAGATCATACCACTGCACTCCAGCCTGGGTGACAGAGCAAGACTTCGTCAAAAAAAAAAAAAAAAAAGCCATGGAATTGGATGAGATGTAGGAGAGAAAGGAAATAGTTGGAGAAGAGGAGGTCAAGGACTGAGCCTTAGGACAAGCCAGCATTTAGTTGGGCAAAGGACAGTGAGAAGGAGGAAAACCAAGGGAGCGTCCCAGAAGTCAAATGAAGAAGGTGTTTGAAGAGGAAAGGAGGAATCAGCTGTGTCAACTGTTGCTGACAGGCCAAATGAGAGAACAGAGAGCTGCTCAGCAGGCTTGGCAATGTGAAGATCCGTGGTTTCAGTGGGGTGGAGAAAGCCAAACTGGAGTAGGCCCATGAGAGAAGGTGCAACAACTTCACATAACATTGTGTGAAAAGAGTCTGACCCAATAGCATCCATACTGCACAATTTCAGTTCTATCAAGTTTGAAAGCTGCAAAATTAAGCTGCATTGTTGAGAGATACACAGGTCATAAACTAAAGAGAAATGTAAGGAGTTGATTTCCTTAAAAGGATAAAGCTTGCATGTATAGAGGGAGAGGATTATGATCAAGAAGGATGAGTGGCGGCCGGTATGGTGGCTCATCCCTGTAATCCTAGCACTTTGGGAGGCTGAGGCAGGCGCATTACTTGAGGTCAGGAGTTTGAGACCAGCCTGGCCAACATGGCAAAACCCTATCTCTACTAAAAATACAAAAAGTTAGCCAGGTGTGGAGCCGCACGCCTGTGGTCTCAGCTACTCAGGAGGTTGAGGCACGAGAATCGCTTGAACCTGGGAGGATGAGGTTGTAGTGAGCCAACATCGCACCACTGCACTCCAGCCCGGGTGAGGGAGTGAGACTCTGTCTCAAAAACAAAAACAAAAAAAACAAGGACAGATGGAACATGTTGTCACACATTGGGTGGTATGGGGTTCATCAGGCTGCACATGTATGTTCTGTGCATTTTTTTGTATGTTGTAGTTTACAGTTACAAAGAAGATAGCAGGAAGAAATGGTGAAAAAAGTAGGTAAGTCTTTTAAGGAGTTTTCCTGCAAAGCGGACAGAGAACTAGGTCTGGTGGTGGTCGTCAAAGGAGAACTTTTTTCTCCCTCCTTCCCTCCCTTCCTCCTAGATACTTGCATGTGTTGTAAAGAGTGAGCACAGTGGTACATCTTTTCTTAGCCACAGTCAGCTGCCCAGGAGCAGTGCTGAATGGGCAGAGCTGGATTTTACAGGGTTGGGATTTTGCCAGGTGAGTAAGATAGAGGGGAGAAGTGGGACCAGGGAGTTCCAGGTCTGTGAACGGGCCTGGCTGAGGAGCTGGATCATGAAATCTGAGTCAAGTAAGAAGGAAATTGAGGACACGAGTTGGGTATTGCATAGTGTTACTGTGTTAAGGTCAGGGGTCAAAGACTTACTGGCATGGAGTAACCAGAGTAAGTGAGCTGGAAAGATGAGTTGTCAGGGCAGAGAGGGGTGCTTGGAATTGAGGCTTTGGAGCTGTGAAGTGACAAGATGCAGGTATTACCATGGGAGTGGGCAGCTGAGGTGGGGTAAAGGAGATGCTCTGTGGAAGGGAGATGAAGGCACTGAAGTCAGCCAGAAACACAAAAACTGGTGGTGGTGAGTGAGCAGAGTGGCAGTGAGCCCCAAGGCTTCCAGTTTTCTCCTTGGACAAGTCATCGTAATTATTATTATTATTTTTTGAGATGGAGTTTCCCTCTTATTGCCCAGGCTGGAGTGCAATGGTGCAATCTCAGCTCACTGCAACCTCCGCCTCCTGGGTTCAAGTGGTTCTCCTGCCTCAGCCTCCCAAGTAGCTGCAATTACAGGCGCCCACCACCACGCCCAGCTAATTTTTGTATTTTTAGTAGAGATGGGGTTTCACCATGTTGGCCAGGCTGGTCTTGAAGTCCTGACCTCAGGTGATCCACCCGCCTTGGCCTCCCAAAGTAATCACGCTGGGATTACAAGCGTGAGCCACTGTGCCAGGCCAAGTCATAGTAATTATGAGATGTGGATCACTGGTACTGGGTACTTACTGTACTGCAGGCACTGACCCACACAAGTTGTATTGGTTATCTCATTTAATCCTGACCACCCTGAGGTAGGGAGGTGTCCACACTGTAAAATGAAGAAACAGAGGCTCAGAAAGTTAGTTGCCCTGACATCACAAAGCTGGTAAGTGGAAGGGCCAGGATTTAACCCTGGCAGCCCAGAGCGTGATTTGTATTCTGCAATACCATTTCCTTAATTTCTGAGCCTTAGTTCCCCTTTTACCTATAGGTATAGCACCAAGTCCCATCACAGAGTAGAAACCTGTTAAACGTTAATTTTCCTTGCCTTCCTCAGGTTTCCCTAATGTGGGAAAGTCCTCGCTGATCAATGGGCTGGTGGGGCGGAAAGTCGTGAGTGTCTCCAGAACCCCGGGCCATACCCGATACTTTCAGACCTACTTTCTTACCCCCTCTGTGAAGCTCTGTGACTGCCCAGGCCTCATCTTCCCATCTCTTCTGCCTAGGCAGTTGCAGGTATGACGGGGAGGGTGGGTAAGGGAAAGAGAGAAGGTGGGACATTGAGGAAAGTACTGAGTGCTCATTTCCCTCAGGTTCTGGCAGGGATCTACCCTATCGCCCAGATCCAGGAGCCCTACACTGCTGTGGGCTACCTGGCCTCCCGAATTCCCGTGCAGGCCCTGCTCCACCTGCGCCACCCAGAGGCTGAGGACCCCTCAGCGGAACACCCCTGGTGTGCCTGGGACATCTGTGAAGGTGAGTTCCATGTGCCTGGCTTCGCCCCACCTGGTTTCAGCTGCTCTTCCTTACCTGCCTCGCCTTTTACCCTTCCCTGTCTCCTTTCCTCTCCTCAGAGATTCTGCCATTGATGAAGCTGCTGTCCACTCACCCCTAGATTTTTGTTGCATAGCCAGTAAGATCTCTGGCCTGGAATGTTTTGGGGAAAACTGGAAGGACTGTGTTATGGGAGTGGGAGTATAACTGGTACCTGGTTAATGCTTTCCCTTTCCATTATTCTTTTCTTCCTCCAGCCTGGGCAGAGAAACGTGGTTACAAGACAGCCAAGGCGGCTCGGAATGATGTGTACAGAGCAGCCAACAGTCTCTTGCGGCTGGCAGTGGACGGCCGCCTCAGCCTGTGTTTTCATCCCCCAGGCTACAGTGAACAGAAAGGTCAGAGCCCAGATATTCTTCCCCAGCCCCCTGCTATAGCGTAGGTAAAAGGGTGTGGGCTTTGTGGCCAGAGAGAGGGTCAAACCTGGATTCTGTACCTGTTGGCTAGCTCTGTTACTTAACATCTGTGATATTTTCCTGATCTGCAAACTGAGGGTAATAATTGACCCTTAGCATAGTGATTGTAAAGATTGAAGTTGATGTGCACAAAGGTTCTGTTCAGCAATCTGCACATAGGAAGTTGAATGAATGGATGAATGAATGAATGCCAGCAGCTCTAAAGATTATTGTTATTCCTAGTCTTTGCCTCTTCCCCATCTTTCCTTGGCTTTAGTTCTTGCTCAAAACTCTCCTCCATTTTTTTCTTGTTTTGGTTCCCCAGGCACCTGGGAGTCCCATCCAGAGACCACGGAGCTGGTGGTTTTGCAGGGCAGGGTGGGGCCAGCAGGTGACGAGGAGGAGGAGGAAGAGGAAGAGCTGAGCAGCTCCTGTGAGGAGGAGGGAGAGGAGGACCGGGATGCGGATGAGGAGGGAGAAGGGGATGAGGAGACCCCAACCTCGGCTCCAGGGTCCAGCCTGGCTGGCCGAAACCCTTATGCCCTGCTGGGTGAGGATGAGTGCTGAGTTCCTCGCCCAGCGCCATCTTCCCTCCCAGTATCTTTGCTTTTGGACTGACCTGGGGGTATCTCCCCTCTGCCACCCCAATTGTGAATAAAGATTGTTTGCTTTGTAGCCCCTTCCCCAGATGAACTGAGGTGAGAGCGGCTGTTCCAGGCTAACAGCTGTGGGAGGCTTCTCTCCTCTTCTCCCTTCTTTTTTCATGCATTCTCTTTGCAAGGGAAAGTTCTCTTAGGAGTTTAGTAGGTTCTCAGTCTCTGAAACCTGCTTCCTCTACCCATTCTCCCACTCTGCACCTTAGGAATCCCGTTATCTACATGGGGAGGGGAGGTCTAAATCCAGCTCCCTTTTGGAGTTTGTGCCATTCTCCGATTTGAGCAGCAGCCCTGTGTGCCCCCTGCCGCCAGACCTGCTCATTCCAGGAGCTTCTGGGAGAAGGAACAGTAAGAGAGGAACTGTGTCCCAAGCTGATGTCTCTTAATGAGATTTTTACAGGAATTGTTCAAATTCAGCAAATATTTATTGAGGGTCTATTGTGTGTCTTGACCTGTGCTGAGCACCAAGCATATAAGGATGTACCACCAGAGCCTGACCTAAATTTGAAGCCTGGCCATGATCAAAACCCCACCTTCAGGCACCCAAGTTTTTGGATTAAGAAGGGTGAATGATGTTCTCCAAATCCTGGGGGCTCATGCAGTATAATTCTAGGACTTCATGTTGATACAAATTTTTAGTTAAGGCAAAACGCTTGTGAAAATGTTGATTAAATGTGTACGAGTAGTTTTAATTACTGGTGAACAACTAGCGTGCACATTTATGATTTGAGCAGAACAGCCCTTTAAGTACAGTGTTAAGTTTCATTGTTTAAAAGCTTGGCAGCTACGAGTATTTGAGGTACATAGGGGCGGGCACAGAACCAGCCTCCTGAATTCCATTTACTCTGGTTTGGGGGTGGAACAAAGATGATCCAGTGCAGGGTCTGAGCTAGAACCTAGCAGGTGGCCAGAACCATTTTAGGGTTTCACCTCAGCATTTCGGCAGAAATCAGCTCTCTCGTGAGTCAGGGCACCTTAGGCTTTGCTGTATATCCCTTTGTTAAGCCAGCAGCTAGACTCCTAGATTGAATTCTTTTAGAAATGGGAGAATGAGCTTTTTTATTGACTGCCAGTGTTGTCTGTATTGGATGATAGCAAAAAGTGTAGTTGGACAGGTTGCCCACTAGATGGAGTGAGAAGTACCAGACTCCTTTTTTCTCTAAAGCAGATCCTTTCAGGATCTGAGTCACTGGGCAGTTTCTCTAATGCGAGCAGACAGACCCTGTTAACCAAGGAGCAAAGGAAAGTATATTTAAAGAGGCTAAGGTGTTTGGCCACATATTGCTTTAGGTTCATCTCCATTGGTCTCAGTGTGGACATAACTCCTGGAATTCACTCCAGTGCAAAGTTTAAATAATACCAGCATGAGAATGTACTTGAAGGTTTCCCAAAATGTGCTAGACAAGAAAGAGAAAAGGTCCCAGCTGAGAGAAAAATCCACCTGTCTCCCATCTGGGGCTCTTTGGCCTCACTGATAGAAAAGGAAAAGGGGCCCAAGCTAAGCTTACTTTGAGGGTTCATGATGTTCAGAGATGCTCAGGGGACTTCTCCGCTGCAGGAGGTGGGGTGAGGACATTGGATTCATTTCCTCAAAATATGGAGAGAAAGGAGAAAAATCAGAATTCTATTTGTACCTCTGCTTCCTGTGCTGTTTATCTTTGCTTGTCTTTATCTTTTTCCACCTCAGGGGTTTCATCAGGGGTATTTGGGAGAGTCTAGGGGTGGGGATGAAGAATTGACTGGGAGCTGAGGAGGGGGGATTTTTATGCTGAAGACCTGGCAGGAGGCAACTCCTGACACCCCCACAGGGTTAGACTGTAAAACCTCTTCCATGACTTGCTGACTCTATAGGATAATAGCAACAGGAAAAGAACTGAGGGACGTGCAGATGAGGATGAATAGGGCCCCAACACCAGTGCCTGAGGCTGAGGTTAGAACTGACTACAAAGACACAGGAAACCAAGGGCCCAGTCTCCCCTCCACGCTGAAATACGCACCCTCTTGTCTGGGTCATGTCTACTATGTGAATACTTGACCATGGAGGTCTGGGGCTCTGGTGGCTTCCATAGCTGGCTAGTCTCTTGATGGAGAGAAATCAGGGCTTCTCTCATCCATGCTGGAATTTCATTTAGATGTCAACTTCCAAGTTTCCCTTTTTCCAGATGGGATTATAGTCCTGCTTCTGGAACAGGGTAGCTGTGTGTGGTCCAGGATAGTTCAATTATCTGGCCCTTTGTTCACTTCTTACAATCATTGATACAGTCAACAAAAATTGGTTAAAAACAATATATGCCAGACATATATCCCTGAGTTCTGGGACAATAACCAAAATTGAATAAGGCAATATCCTACTCTCAAGCAATAGAGGGTAGGAATAGAATAATAATAATATAATACAATAGCTCTATAGCAGTATGTAAACTATAAAAGCATTATTTTACGTGTTTCTATTGAACTGTCATAACTAAATAAGATGGTTAGTACTATAATTATCCCAAGGATTCATTCACTCATAGAACATTTGTTGAGCAATTACTACCTGCCAGTCACTTCCAAGTGGTAAGTGAGATAGAAATGGTTCTTTGTGGCGCTCACAATTTATTGGAGAATGGAAACACAATTACAAAAAAAAAGTGTGATAAGTTCTGGGAGAAGGGTGGTACAGGATCCTGTGGGGTAGTGGTGGCTCCATATAGGAGGGACATTGGGATACTGATCAGGAAGGAGTGGGGGACAGGGCTAGAAGCTGCATTAGTATAAAGTTATGTCAGACTGCCAAAACAAAACAAACACAAAAAATCAGTAGTCTGTGGTAAAGAATTGCTATAGGAACAGCCAGTAGGGGCAGTTAAGCTGGTCTTGGTGAATCAGGGGAAGCGTCCTAGAGGAACAGATGTCCATGCTGAGGCCAAATGCTGGACAGGAGTTAGCCAGACAGGGAAATTGCATTCTGGGCAGAGGAGACAGCAAAGGTCAAGAAACATGACAACTTTGGAAGACTGTAACTTGTTCAGAGGCAGAGGGTGCAAAGGAGAAATGAGGAAAGGTGAAGCTGGAGAGGTGGGCTTGGTCCAGCTCTTGCTGGGCCTTTTCAGCCGTGTTAAAGATTTAGACTGTATCCAGAGGGATGTTGAACTTTAAGCCTAAGACTGAAAAGGTGAGAATTGTGCCTTAGATCACTATGGTTGCAGTGTGGAGACTGGTTTGGAAAGGGGAGAAATCAGAGGCTTTTACAGCCATCCCAGGGAGAGAGAATGAACACCAGAATTAGGGTAATGGAAGATGGAAAGAAGAGAAATCGTTTTATGGGTTGCTCAGGAGATAGAATTGACATGTCTTGGGATTGTTTTGCTGTGTAGGGGAGAGAGACAAGTCAAGAGTATACATCCTGTTTCTGACTTGGCAACTGGGTGGGTCATGGGTCTGTTTCCTGAGACAGTTGTCTACAGCCATACCACCGTAAGCGCCCTAAATCTCATCAGAGACAGTTTATGCAAATGGAGCTTGGGGAAAGAGAGGTCGTGGCTGGAGACAGAGATTTGGGCATCATCAACATATAGGTGTGGGGAGCAGAGAAGGCTGAGGAAGAAAGCAGGAAACATATAAAAAGGAGAGCAGGGAAAGGAGCCAGTGAGACAGGAAAAACCTAGTAACGTGGTGTGATGAAGCTAGGGGAGGAAGGAAGGAAGGAAGGGCGGCGTGGAACGCTGCTGATGGGTGGTGGCGGGGAAAATGAACGAGTATCCACCAGCAACGAGAGGGGCCTCCATGGTCTTGGTGGGAGCATTTCTTTGGAGAGGTGGAATCAGAAGCCCCAGATGTCAGAGGGTTAAGGAATAATTTGGAGGAAAAGCGTAAAGGCAGTGGAGGTGAGGAGAGAATTTTCAAAATGTTTGGCAGTGATTGCAATGAAAGAAAAAAATGGAGGGAGCAGAGTATATGCAGTTGAGGAACTTTTTTAGTTTGGAGTGTGTTAACACGATGTTAGGAAGAAGGATCAAGTGAAGGAGAAAGGTGAAAATGCTGGAAGGTGGGGCTTAGTGATGAAACAAACCTTGGGGACAGGTGGGCGTGGTACTGAGAGTCCCAGTGAGGGGAGTGCCCTCAGGCAGGCGCCGGTGGCTTCTGTCACAGGAGGGAACAGCGCTGACATTCAGCTGGTTCGCACTGATACGGCTCAACCAGTTTGTTAAAACATGTCTGTTCCAGTGTCAGTAATATACGAGTAACTGCAATATGCAGTAAAAATTATAAATTCTAATACAAACTCAGTTCAAGCTAATTAAGAGATCGCAACAGCCGTTGGTAAATGGACTTCCCGCTGCATTTGAGAAGCTTTGCAGCGCCATCTGCCGGTGTCGTAGCATCACTGCAGGCTGAGAGGCTGCTTTGCGCCTTCATCTTGAAGCACTCTGAAATTGCCTGTTTAAATTACCTTGGAATCATGGAGTTGCTACTGCTTCTGAATAGTTTAGCTTCTACTTTGATTTTATTGTTAGTGCATTGTCGTTCTTGTGTCAGTAGCAAGTTTCAGTGTTTTAATATTTACAAATACAAAAATTTTTAATAAAATATTAAAGCCAAACTTGAATGAAGAGACAACAAAGTTTGGATATGTTTCTTTATGTGCCTTTTGACATATCATAAATGAGAATCTTTTGATTCCTCAGGAGAACAAAGAAGAAATATTAATGAGCTGCAGCCAGGAATGTTTTCTGTTACTGTGTAAAAATCAGAATAATATGGAAATCATTTGCAACTTTTTATTTTGAAAAATTTCTAACATAGAAAAAGAACAATAAACACCCAAATACTGAAAGATTCAACAAATTCTACATTTTGCCATATTTGCTTTACTAGTTTTTGCCAGCTTCTGTATTAATCGATTTTTCTGTCTACTTATCCATTTTTTTTGTTGTCATTACCTTTTATTTTTAAAAATTTTAACCTTTAATTGTAAATTGGCAAATTATAGTTGTATATATTTATGGCGTACAAAGTGATGTTATGATTCATGAATACACTGTGGGATGATTAAATCAAGCAAATTAACATCTATCACTTTTTTTTTTTTGAGATGGAGTTTCACTCTTGTTGCCCAGGCTGGAGTGCAGTGGTGCAATCTCGGCTCACTGCAACTTCCGCCTCCCGGGTTCAAGTGATTCTTCTGCCTCAGCCTCCCGAGTAGCTGGCATTACAGGCGTCCGCCACCATGCCCGGCTAATTTTTTGTATTTTTAGTAGAGACGGGGTTTCACCATGTTGGCCAGGCTGGTCTCCAACTCCTGACCTCAGGTGATCCACCCACCTCCACCTCCCAAAGTGCTGGGATTACAGACGTGAGCCACTGCACCCGGCCCAACATCTATCACTTTTAAATACTTACTTTTTTTGTGGTGAGAATGTTTGAAATTTACTCTCTACATTCAGAGGAGGGAATATGTTAAAAATGTAAAAAAGATATTTACCCTCAACACTTATGAAATGTCCAAGAATTATTTACTATATTCACTTTGCTGTGCAGTATATCTCAAAGAAAAAGAAAAGCTTATTTTTCCAGTCCAATGAAGCTTTGTAACCTTTAACCATCATATCCCCATTTACCCCAGACCCCCAGCCTCTGGTAACTACTATTCTGCTCTCTCCTCCTTTAAGTTCGATTGTTTTAGATTCCACTTATAAGTGAGAACATACAGTATTTGTCTTTCTGTGCCTGGCTTACTTCACTCAGCATAATGTTCTCCAATTCCATTAACGCTGTCTCAAATGACAAAATTTCTTTTTAAAGGCTGAATAGCATTCCACGGTATATATACCATATTTTCTTTCTTTCTTTCTTTTTTTTTTTTTTTTTTTGAGACGGAGTCTTGCTCTGTCACCCAGGTTGGAGTGCACTGGTGCAATCTCAGCTCACTGCAAACTCCGCCTCCCAGGTTGAAGTGATTCTCCTGCCTCAGCCTCCAGAGTAGCTGGGACTACAGGCGCCTGCCACCACGCCCAGCTAATTCTTTTGTACTTTTAGTAGAGATGGGGTTTCACCGTGTTAGCCAGGATGCTCTCGATATCCTGACCTCGTGATCCGCCTGCCTCGACCTCCCAAAGTGCTGGGATTACAGGCTTGAGCCACTGCGCCCGGCCTATATACCATATTTTCTTTATCCATTCATCTGCTGATGAACACTCGGTTTGACTATGTAACTTCACTGTGGTTAATAGTGCTGCAGCGAACATGAGAGTGCAGGTATCTCCTCGACATACTGATTTCAAATCTCTTTAGTAAATACCCAGACGCAAGATTGCTGGATCATATGGTAATTCTTTTTTTTTTTTTTGAGATGGAGTTTCACTCTTGTTGCCCAGGCTGGAGTGCGATGGCACGGTCTCAGCTCACTGCAACCTCCGCCTCCCGGGTTCAAGCGGTTCTCCTGCCTCAGCCTCTCAAGTAGCTGGGATTACAGGCGCCCACCACCACGCCCAACTAATTTTTGTATTTTTAGTAGAAATGGGGTTTCACCATATTGGCCAGGCTGGTCTCGAGCTCCCGACTTCAGGTGATCCGCTCACCTTGGCCTCCCAAAATGATGGGATTAGAGGTGTGAGCCACTGTGCCCAGCCCCATATGGTAATTCTATTTTTAGTTTTTTGAGGAACCGCCATACAGTTTTCCATAATAGCTGTACTAATTTACATTCCTACCAACAGTATACAAGTGTTGTCTTTTCTCAACCATTTGAACTTTTTTTTTCTTTTTGAGATGGAGTTTTGCTCTGTCACCCAGGTTGGAGTGCAGTGGTGCAATCTCGGTTCACTGCAACCTCTGCCTCCCGGGTTCAAGTGATTCTCTTGCCTCAGCCTCCCCATTAGCTGGGACTACAGGTGTGCACCACCATGCCTGGCTAATTTTTGTATTTTTAGTGGAGACGAGATTACACCACGTTGGCCAAGGTGGCCTCAAACTCCTGACCTCAGGTGATCCGCCTCCTTCGGCCTCCCAAAGTGCTGGGATTGCACTGCACCCAGCCCTGAACCATTTGAAAGTTGGAGACATCGGCTGGGCATGGTGGCTCATACCTGTAATCCCAGTACTTTGGGAGGCCGAGGTAGGCGGATCACCTGAGGCCAGGAGTTGGAGACCAGCCTGGCCAACATGGTGAAACCCCGTCTCTACTAAAAATACAAAAAATTAGCCGGGCATGGTGGTACATGCCTATGATCCCAGCTACTCAGGACGCTGAGGTGGGAAAATTGCTCAAACCTGGGAGGTGGAGGTTGCAGTGAGCCAAGATAGTGCCACTGCACTCTAGCCTGGGTGACAGAGCAAAACTCCATCTCAAAAAAAAAGAAACTTGCAGACATCATGACCATTCACCCCTAAATACTTCATATACATCTCTTACACAATCATAATAGAATCATCATGTTTAATGAGTTAATAATTTTTAATGTCATCTAGCATTAAACTTCTCCAATTTGAATGCCTTTTATAGCATTTAATTTTTCCTAAGTATAATTACCAAATAAAAATTGTATAGATTTATGGTGTATAGCATGATGTTTTAATATATAGCTTTTAAAAAACTCCCAGAACAGGAACCAATCAAGTTTCAACATTGCATTTTTTTATGTCCTTTTCTCACCCCTTTCTTTTTAATCTACAATCATCCAGTTTTTTTCTTCTTGGAATTGGATCTTTGAGGATACTAGGGCAGTTGTCTTTTAGACTGTTCAACATTCTAGATTTGTCTTACTGTTTCTTTGATGTCACTTAATGTGTTCATCTGTCTCCCTGAGTTTTGAGGGGTTTTCCCCCAATTTCTTGGTTAGATTCAGGTTACCCAGTCTTGGGACTAATTCCTCAAACTTGCTATATATGTCACATTGCCTCACATCAGAAGGCATATGATATGAAGCCATCCCACAAGCAGTGATGCTAAGTATGATTGCTTGGTTAGGATGGACACGGTCAGATCTTTTCTGTAAAGGTTATGTTTCCCTCTTGGCAATTAGCAAGTCGTCTGCATGGTTCTTTGACACTGTGTGTATACGCTGAAAAACTTTCTCTTATCGCCATCTACAGTGATTCTTGCTTGAATTGGTTATTTCATCAGAAATTACAAAAGGTGCTTTTCTAATTCTCCCACTTCTACATTTATAAGGGCATAATTACCTAGGAAGGAGCTTTCTCTCACCAACTGGAAAAAGTAGGGTCCTTCTCAAACTCCTGACCTCAAGTGATCCACCTGCCTCAGCCTCCCAAAGTGCTGGGATTACAGACATGAGCCACAGCGCCCGGCCAAAGTAGGGTCCTTCTAAAAGGCAAGGTAAATGCTTATTTCCCTTTACCAGTTTTCAGAATAAGGTATTGGTATGATATTAATCTCCAAAGGTAGAAAATTTATTTTTTTTCTTTTTTTAAACTATAGATTTAGGGTTTTTATCCATTCAGTATTTCTTTTATTTTTTGAGACAGCATCACGGTCTGTTGCCCAGGCTGGAGTGCAGTGGCGCAATTACCACTCACTGCAGCCTCAACCTGCCAGGCTCAAGTGATCCTCCTACCTCAGCCTCCTGAGTAGCTGGGACCACAGGTGCATGCCACCACACCCAGATGATTTTTGTATTTTTTGTAGAGATGGGGTTTTGCCATGTTGCCTGAGATTAAGTGATCCACCTGCCTTGGCCTCAAAGTGCTGGGACTACACCATGCCAGGTATCCATTTAATATTTCACAATTGGTTACAGTCATTATTTTTTTGTGCTCGAACTGTACCTTATGTGTCCAGTGGGAGCCTTTTTTTTTTTTTTTAATTTGAGATGGAGTCTCACTCTGTCACCAGGCTGGAGTGCAGTGGTACGATCTCGGCTCACTGCAACCTCTGCCTCCTGGGTTCAAGCAATTCTCCTGCCTCAGCCTCCTGAGTAGCTGGGACTACAGGTGCATGCCACCATGGCCAGCTAATTTTTGTATTTTTAGTACAGACGGGGTTTCACCTTATTGGCCAGAATGATCTAGATTGGGAGAGGGCCCCAGTGGGAGCCCTTTTAAGCTAACTCCTACATCCATTCTGACATACCCCAAAAGTTCTGTGAGCACTTGCTTGCTTTTGACACAACTAGATGTCCCAGGCACAATTTTTTTTTACTTTCCCAGCTCCAGATGTGGAATCAGCCATTTTTCTTTTTCTTTTTTCTTTCTTTCTTTCCTTTTTTTTTCTTGAGACAGAGTCTCACTCTGTCACCCAGGCTGAAGTGTAGTGGCATGATCTCAGCTCACTGCAACCTCTGCCTCCAGAGTTCAAGTGATCCTCCCACCTCAGCCTCCTGAGTAACTGGGATTATAGGCATTGCCACTACGCCTGGCTAATTTTTGTACTTTTAGTAGAGATGGGGTTTCATTATGTTGGCCAGGCTGGTCTCAAACTCTTGGCCTCAAGTGATCTGCATCTGCCTGCCTTTAGCCTCCCAAATTGCTGGGATTACAGGCATGAGCCACTGCACTTGGCCAAAATCAGCCATCTTTTTTTTTTTTTTTTTTTTTTTTTGAGGCCGAGTCTTGCTCTGTCGCCCAGGCTGGAATGCAGTGGCGTGATCTCAGCGCACTGCAAGCTCTGTCCCCAGGTTCATGCCATTCTCCTGCCTCAGCCTCCCAAGTAGCTGGGACTACAGGTGCCCACCACCATGCCTGTCTACTTTTTTGTATTTTTAGTAGAGACAGGGTCTCACTGTGTTCGCCAGGATGGTCTCGATCTCCTGACCTTGTGATCTGCCCGCCTCGGCCTCCCAAAGTGCTGGGATTACAGGCGTGAGCCACTGCACCTGGCCAAAATCAGCCATCTTTCTAAGGAACATTGATTCGTTTTAGTGAGGAATGGTCTTTAGTGCTGGGAGAGCTCGTTGCTACAGAGGTGTCATCGCTTTAAGTCACATTTAGGGTTTAAAAAAAATCATGAATTCATATTGGTATTTCCAATTCAAATTGTACATTATAGGTTTTTCCCTCTTCTTGGACTTTGTATTTGTATATCTTTTATCAGGGCAATCGAAAGCCTTGGCTCTTAATACTCTTAATATATTTACCTATTTTTCTCTCCTACAATATACATAAAATCATCTTAAAATTGCATTGGGCCAGGCACAGTGGCTCATGCCTGTAATCCCAGCATTTTGGGAGGCTGAGGCGGGCGTTATCACTTGAGGTCAGTAGTTCGAGACCAGCCTGGCCAACATGGCAAAACCCCGTCCCTACTCAAAATACAAAAATTAGCTGGGTGTGGTGGTGGGCATCTGTAATCCCAGCTACTAGGGAGGCTGAGGCAGGAGAATAGCTTGAACTTGGGAAGTGGAGGTTGCAGTGAGCCAAGATTATGCCACTGCACTCCACTCGGGGTGACAGAGCGAGACTCCATCTCAAACAAACAAAAGAAATCGGCTGGGCATGATGCATTCATCTGTAGTCCCAGCTACTCAGGAGGCTGAGGTGGGTGGATCACTTGAGCCCGAGAGATTGAGGCTGCTGTGAGCTATGATCGTGCCACTGCACTCTAGCCTGGGCAACAGAGCAAGATCTTGTCAAAAAAAAAAAAAAATTGGGAAACAAAATCTTTTAGGGCTTCTGAAGTCACCCCATGAGTAACTGAGTGTGATGAGTGTAGGACTCCTGGTCCCAGCACCTGGTCTTATTTCTGTTTCTCAAACATGTCCTTTCCACCCCAAGACTTTTATCCCTTTTTGTTCCCTGGTCTGGAATACTCTGTCCCACCTACCCGCCACCTGTAGTCTTGCCACATCCAGTCTCTGCTGACATATTCCTCAGAGGGGAATATGTGCCTGATTCCCCTCCTTTCAACCTAGGCAAGGTGAGTTTCTCCTGCATGAGTTCCTCTATGGCCAATGAGCCTCACACAATTGAGTGTCTACCATCCACCCGCCAGCAAGGCCCCAAGACAGCACGTTTTCTTCCCTGTTGATCACTCTATTCTCAGTACCTATAACAGCACTGTATTAGTTAGGGTGTTCCAGAGAGTTAGAACCAATCAGATGAAAGAACTGTTTCATGCTATCATAGGGGTTGGCAAATCCAAAATCTGCAGAGCAGGCAGGCCAGCAGCAAAGAGTTGATGTTACAGCTCAGGTCCAAAGGCGGTGTGGAGGCAGAATTCCCTCTTCCTCAGGGACCTCAGTCTTTTTGTCTTAGGCCTTTGAATGATTGGATGAGGCCCACTCACATTGTGGAGGGCAGTCTGCTTTATTCAAAATGCACCAATTTGAAACATCCAAAATACCCTCACAAAACCATCCACAATGTTTGACCAAATATCTGAATACCATGGCTTAGCCAAGTTGACAAATAAAATTAACCATCACAAGTACCTAGCACAAATGCATAATTTTATGTCTATATGTATATATATTTTCTTATACATACATATGCATGCATACACATATTTATGATTATAAAAAGTATATATATATCTATATATATAGAGAGAGAAATAAAGGAATGATCCATGTACCTTACAAATACACTAGAAACATAAATTCATAGATAGCAGCAGATCTCATTACGATGTTTAATTTTATGTGTCAACTTGTCTGGGCCATGGTGTCCAGATATTTAGTCAAACATTATTCTGGATGTTTCTGTGAAGGTGTTTTTGGATGAGATTTACATTTAAATTGGTGAACTTTAAATGTAATGAGGGTGGGCTTCATCCAATCAGTTGAAGACCTGGTTAGAACAAAAGGCTGTCCTCTCTCTTTTGTTCTGGTCAGAAGTTTCCAGCACACCACCTTTGGACTTGAACTGCAACTCTTTCCTGTGTCTCCAGCCTGCTGGGCTCTCCTATCAGACTTTGGACTCACCAAGCCTCCACAATTTTGTGAACTAATTCCTTAAAATAAGTCACACTCTCTCTTTCTCTCTCTGCAAGTATGTATGTATGTACGTATGTATGTATATTCTATTTCTCTGGAGAACCCTGACTAACTCAGAAAGCAAAAATGCCCTCTATGGCAGGGTGCAGTGGCTCATGCCCGTAATCGTAGCACTTTGGGAGGCCGAGGCGGGCAGATCACCTGAGGTCAGGAGTTCAAGACCAGCCTGGCCAACATAGTGAAACTCCGTCTCTACTGAAAAAAACACACACACACAAAAATTAGCCGGGCATGGTGGCAGGTGCCTATAATCCCAGCTACTCAGGAGGCTGAGGCAGGAGAATCGCTTGAACCTGGGGGGCGGAGGTTGCAGGGAGCCAAAAACGTGCCACTTCACTCCAGCCTGGGTGAGAGAGCGAAACTCCGTCTCAAAAAGAAAACCAAAACCAAAAATGCCGCCAATCACGTCTATGAGATAACCATTGTTTACTGTTTGTTCCGTGTTCCTGTATTCTCTCCCCCAACTTTTTCCTGTTTATATATCAGCAAAGATGGATGGAGGGGAAGATTGAAAAAAATGTTTCTTCCAGTTTATATTGTTCTGCAACTTTTATTATTTATTTATGATGTGCTCATTTTCCCATGTCAATACATATAGATCTTTACAAAATGATACTGTGATATTTCATTGTATATACACAGCCTACTTTAACTATTCTGGTACTCCCCCCACGGCCCCCCCCCCCATTATTCACTAGTAGACATAATGCCTCAAAAAAACATTCTTGGGTGGGTGCCGTGGCTCACATCTCTAATCCCAGCACTTTGGGAGGCTAAGGCGGGCAGATTGCTTGAACCCAGATATTGGAAACCAGCCTGGGCAACATGGTGAAACCCTATCTCTACAAAAAATACAAAAATTAGGCTGGGCGCGGTGGCTCACACCTGTAATCCCAGCACTTTGGGAGGCTGAGGCAGGTGGATCACGAGGTCAGGAGTTCGAGACCAGCCTGGCCAACATGGTGAAACCCTGTCTCTTCTAAAAGTATGAAAATTAGCTGGGTGTGGTGGCATGCGCCTGTAGTCCCAGCTACTCAGGAGGCTGAGGCAGGAGAACTGCTTGAATCCAGGAGGCGGAGGTTGCCATGAGCTGAGATCGTGCCATTGCACTCCAGCCTGGGTGACAGAGCGAGACTCCATCTCAAAAAAAAAAAAAAAAATTAGCTGGGTGTGGTGGTGTATGCCTATAGTCCTAGCTATTCGGGAAGCTGAGCGGGGAGGATTGCTTGAGCCTGGGAAGTTGAGGCTTCAATGAGCTGTGATTATGCTACTGTACCATGCCTGGGTGACAGCGAGACCCTGTCTCAGAAAACAAAACAAAACAAAACAAAACAAAAAACAAAAAAACCCCAAAAATTCTTGTACTTACTTTTTTGCACACTAGAGGGAGTGTTTCTATAAATTCCTAGTTGCCATGAATGGAATGTTTGTAGTCCCCTCAAACTGTATGTTGAAGCTCTCTAATTCCCAATGTGATAGTCTTTGGAGGTGGGGCCTGGGCTATAATGAGGTTTGGATAAAGTCATGGGGGCATAATGGGATTGGTGCCCTTATAAAGAGATGAAGAGAGGCTATTGCTCTCCCTGCCACAGCAAGGCGGTGGGATGGGCCGGGTGTGGTGGCTCACGTCTGTAATCCCAGCATCTGGGAGGCCGAGGTGGGAGGACTGCTTCAGCCCAGGAGTTCAAGACCAGCCTGGGCAACATAATGAGACCTCGTCTCTACAAAATTACAAAAATTTAGCTGGGCCTGGTGGCATGCACCTGTAGTCCCAGCTACTCGGGCGGCTGAGGTGGGAAGATCAGTTGAGCCCAGGAGGTTGAGGCTGCAGTGAGCCAAGCTTACACCATTGCACTCCAGCCACCTGGGTGACAGAGAAAACCCTCATCTGTTAAAAAAAAAAAAAAAAAAGAAAGAAAGAAGAAAGAAGGAAGAAAGACAGAGAGAAAGAAAGAAAGAGAAAGAGAAAAAGAAAGAAAGAAAAAGAAGGAAAAGAAAGAAAATGAAGGTGGGACATCTGTGAACTGGGAACAGAAAAAGGACCTTCACCAAGCACCTTAACTGCCAGTGCCTTGATACCTGAACTTCCCAGCCCCATGAACTGTGAAAAATAAACCTCTGTTGTCTATAAGCCATCCAGGCTGTGGTGTTGTTATAGCAGCCCAAACTAACTAAGGCACTAATTTAAGTGGAAATGCTAAATCAAAGGTTATGAAAATGTTTAATATTAATAGGTACTAAATTACTTCCCCCAAAGGTGATAAGTTTACACTCTTATCAACAAGAGGTTAAAACATTGTTTTAAGCTGGGTGCAGTGGCTCATGCCTGTAATCCCAGCATTTTGGGAGGCCAAGGTTGATGGATCACTTGAGATCAGGAGTTCGAGACCAGCCTGGCCAACATGGTGGAACCTCGTCTCTACTAAAAATACAAAAATTAGCCGGGCATGGTGGCGGGCGCCTGTAATCCCAGCTACTCAGGAGGCTGAGGCAGGAGAATCGCTTGAACCCAGGAGGCAGAGGTTTCGGTGGGCTGAGATCGCGCCACTGCACTCCACCCTGGGCGACAGAGTGAGACTCTGTCTAAAAAAAAAAAAAGTTTTAATTTACTTTTACTATATGACTGGAGGGGTTGAAAATAATTTCATATTTATTGTTCAATTGAATTTATTCTTCTGTAAATTACTTATATCACTTATATGGTTTTAACAATATATCTTTTAAAATTAATTTGCAGTTGGTATATGATGGATATTACAATTCTACTGTATATGCTGATACTGTTGTAACCACCCAATTGGTTCATTTTGCCTGCTGCTCAGATAGAGCCAATTTATGAAGACAGGGGAATTGCAATAGAGAAAGAGTTTTATATACATAGAGCCAGTTAAACAGGAGACTGAAGTCTTATTATTACTTATATCAGCCTCCTCTCAAATTTGAAGGCTTTTTCAAGATAGTTTGGGTTGGGCATGGCAGCTTACACCTGTAATCCCAGCACTTTTCGAGTCTGAGGTAGGAGGATTGCTTGAGTCCTTGAGTTTGAGATCAGCCTGGACAACACAGCAAGACACCATCTCTACAAAAAATTTAAAAATTAGCCAGGTGTGGTGGTGTACACCTGTAGTCCCAGTGACTTGGGAGGCTGGGCCAGGGAGGTTGAAGCTGCTGTGAGCCATGATTGCACCACTGCACTACAGCCTGGGCGACAGAGTCTCAAGAAAAAAAGAAAAAAAAAGATAGTTTGCTGGGCAGGTGGCTAGGGAATGGGTGCTGCTGATTGATTGGGATGCAATCATAGGGATGTGGAAAATGGTCCTCGTGCACTGAGTCCACTTCTGAGTGGGGCCATAGGACCGGTCTTGGATCTGGGTGGAGTCATCTGGTTTTCCAAAATGGAAAAGCCTGAGCTGGGCAAGGTGGCTCGTGCCTGTAACCCCAGCAGTTTGGGAGGCTGAGGCAGGAGGATCGCTTGAGTCCAGGAGTTTGAGACCAGCCTGAACAACAGAGCCAGACATCATGTCTACTAAAAATACAAAAACAAAACAAACAAACAAGCAAAAAACACCCCAGAACCAAAAAACAACAAAACTGGCCAGGCATGGTGGCATGCACCTGCAGTCCCAGCTACTTGGAAGGCTGAGGTGGAAGGTTCACTTGAGCCCAGGAGATAGAGACTGCAGTGAGCTATGATCACTGCACTCCAGCCTTGGTGACAGAGCAAGACCTTGTCTCAAAGCAAACAAAACAAAAAATAACTGCAAAGACATCTCAAAAGGCCACAGTGATATCATTTTACAGGACTAATTGGGGAAGTTACAAATCTTGTGACCTCTGAAACAATGGCGGGTAATTGTTTATCTAAGCCTGCATTCAGGCCCCTCTCATCCTCCCTAACCTGGTGGCCTTTCATCATTTTTACAAAGACAGGTTAGTTTTGGGAAGGGCTATTATCATTTAAACTGTAAACGAAATTTCTCCCAAAGTTAGCTTGGCCTTTGCTCAGGAATGACTAAGTGCAATTTGGAGGTTAAAGGCAAGAAGGAGTTGGGTTAGATTGGATATCTTTCAATGTCATAATTTTCTCACTGTTACAATTTTTGCAAGGGTGGTTTCGGTGTTTTCATTTTTTTTTCCTTTGTTAAAGCTATATTGACACCTTCCTTCCATCTCCTCCTTGCATTCCCACAGCACATCCTCCAACAGAAGCCACAGACAACAGAAGAGAGCAGCTTCCCTGTGTGTCCCATACCCACCTCTCCACTTCTGCCACTGGGCATGGACTCCTTTTGATGAACAAGTTCCTCTCACCACGAGCTCACTCTCTTCACACCTAGCTTTAGACCCATGGAAAAAGTCCTGCTGAGTCAAGTCAAGAAGTTCTTCTTCTTTTTTTTTCTTTTTTTGAGACGGAGTTTCACTCTTGTTGCCCAGGGTGGAGTGCACTGGCGCAATCTCGGCTCACTGCAACCTCCGCGGCCCGAGTTCAGGTGATTCTCCTGCCTCAAGCTCCTGAGTAGCTGGGATTACAGGTGCCTGCCACCACGCCTGGCTAATTTTTTGTATTTTTAGTAGAGACGTTGTTTCACCATGTTGGCCAGGCTGGTCTCAAACTCCTGACCTCAGGTGATCCAACCGCCTCGGTCTCCGAAGTGTTTGGATTACGGGCGTGAGCCACCGCGCCGGGCCAAGTTCTTCCTGAGGACCCAAACCCTAGACACTCAAACCAGTGGTCTCTCTGTCTCTTCTGCACCCACTCCCACCATCGTGCCCTGGACCTCAACAGGGGTTATGCTGGGTGAGAGGCTGCTAGATGTTTAGAGACACTGAAATCCAGGGCATGACTGTGGCCAGGAAGAAAACAAGGGCAAGAGAAAGATGCTAGAGATAAACTTCCTTTTTCTTTATTCTTCCTAAGGATGAGTCCAGCAGCCAGGTCCTGGGTGACTTTGTCCATTTAGGCACATAAAAAATGGACCAACATGGAAATGTTCACACACTCCCTTATTAGATGAGTTAGGTTCACACAGAAAAAAACAAAAAAAGTTTCCTAAAAATTGTCACCACTATGATGATGCACTTGTTCTGTGTTTTTGTTTTCTTGTTTTATTTTGATTCTTTTCTTTTTTTTTTTAAGAGACAGGATCTCACTATGTTGCCCAGACTGGTCCCACACTTCTGGGCTGAAGTGATCCTGCCTGTTTCCCAAAGTTCTGAGATTACAGGTGTGAGCCACCAACCATGCCTGGCTTTTTTTTTTTTTTTTTTTTTTTTTTTTTTTTTTTTTGAGACGGAGTCTTGCTCTGTCGCCCAGGCTGGAGTGCAGTGGCACAATCTAGGCTCACTGCAAGCTCCGCCTCCTGGGTTCACGCCATTCTCCTGCCTTAGCCTCCTGAGTAGCTGGGACTACAGGCGTCCACCACCACGCCAGGCTAGTTTTTCATATTTTTAGTAGAGACGGGGTTTCACTGTGTTAGCCAGGATGGTCTCGATCTCCTGACCTCGTGATCCGTCCGCCTCGGCCTCCCAAAGTGCTGGGATTACAGGCGTGAGCCACCGCGCCCGGCCATCTTAATTCTTTTATGGACAGTGTGAAGTAGACATTTTAACTCCATGGTAGAGGTGAGAAAACTGAGGCTTAGTAGCAATGCTTTAATTGGAAACATTTATTCACAAATAGATAAGACTCTAAAAAGAAAAAAAAAGTGATTCATGCGATTAGTCCCCACTTCTCAGGGAAAACCCTACAAAACACCCGAGCTGCTGGCTACAAATGTCATGGGTTTATTTAATTTTCCACGTGGTTGTTTCTCCCTGGCCAGTGAACATTTCATTTAGCAGGGAGGCTGGATCTGGCCTGCCATCTGGCTTTCGTGGTGCACTTTAGACTCTGGAGTTTGACAACAGCTGTTGCACAACCATGCCAGGAGGCCACCAGTCTTGGGACAATGGTTTCTCATTAGTTTGCATAAGGTAGAACAGAAATAGTAGCTGAGGGAAAACAAAAACTTTAAATAATTTAGGGATGGGATTTTCCTGGATGAGTCACATTTTAATGAGTATATCAATGATTCATTATGTATGAATGTTATGATGTGTGCAGAAGTTATTTCTTTTTTTTTTCTTTCTTTTTTTTTTTTTTTGAGACGGGGTTTCGCTCTGTTGCCCAGGCTGTAGTGCAGTGGCGTGATCTCGGCTCACTGCAAGGTTCACACCATTCTCCTGCCTCAGCCTTCCAAGTAGCTGGGACTACAGGTGCCTGCCACCGCACCTGGCTAATTTTTTTTGTATTTTTAATAGAGACGGGGCTTCACCGTGTTAGCCAGGATGGTCTCCATCTCCTGATCTCGTGATCCGCCCGCCTCAGACTCCCAAAGTGCTGGTATTACAGGCGTGAGCCACCGCGCCTGGTCTATGCACAAGTTATTTTTATCAGCTCTAACTGTCCTTAAGACCAAGTATCAACATGAACTCAACATAGAACCAGACCATCAAATGTCTGCATTACAAATTGTTAAAGCATCATTTTCAAAAATAATTAAGCATAATTAGTCATATTGCTCTCACTTGAAAGTATATAATTAATAATGTTATAAGGGCAAAATATTCTTTTTTCTTTTTCTTTTCTTTTCTTTTTTTTTCTTTTTTGAGACACAGTCTCACTCTGTCGCCTAGGCTGGAGTGCAGTGGTGCGATCTCGGCTCACTGCAACCTCCGCCTCCCGGGTTCAAGCGATTCTTGTGCCTTAGTCTCCCGAGTAGCTGGGATTACAGGCACCCGCCACTACGCCCAGCTAATTTTTTGTATTTTTAGTAGAGACAGGGTTTCACCATGTTGGCCAGGCTGGTCTTGAACTCCTGACCTCGTGATCTGCCCGCCTCGGCCTGCCAAAGTGCTAGGATTACAGGCGTCAGCCACCGCGCCCAGCCCTATTATTTGTATTTTGAATAAAAATTGTTATTTAAATTATTTTTCTTTATCATATCTTCTAAAATTTCTAATTAAAACACTTTATAATGTGCATAATGTATTGCTACAAAGCAACATACAGTTTAAAAAGTAGGGAAGATTTTTTTTATTTTTTATTTTATTATACTTTAAGATCTGGGGTACATGTGCACAACATGCATGTTTGTTACATAGGTATACCTGTGCCATGGTGGTTTGCTGCACCCATCAACTGGTGATTTACATTAGGTAGTTCTCCTAATGCTATCCCTTCCCTAACCCCCAACCCCCCCACAGGCCTCGGTGTGTGATGTTCCCTGCCCTGTGTCTGTGTATTCTCATTGTTCAACTCCCACTTATGAGTGAGAACATGTAGTGTTTGGTTTTCTGTCCTTGTGATAGTTTGCTGAGAATGATGGTTTCCAGCTTCATCCATGTCCCTGCAAAGGACATGAACTCATCCTTTTTTATGGCTGCATAGTATTCCACGGTGTATATGTGCCACATTTTCTTAATCCAGTCTATCATTGATGGACATCTGGGTTGGTTCCAAGTCTTTGCTACTGTGACTAGTGCCGCAATAAACATACATGTGCATGTGTCCTTATCATGATTTATAATCCTTTGGGTATATACCCAGTAATGGGATGGCTGGGTCAAATGGTATTTCTAGTTCTAGATCCTTGAGGAATCGCTGCATTGTCTTCCACAATGGTTGAACTGATTTACACTCCCACCAACAGTGTAAAAGTGTTCTTATTTCTCCACATCCTCTCCAGCATCTGTTGTTTCCTGACTTTTTAATGATCACCATTCTAACTGGCGTGAGATGGCATCTCATTGTGGTTTTGATTTGCATTTCTCTGGTGACCAGTGATGATGAGCATTTTTTCATATGTCTTTTGGCTGCATAAATGTCTTCTTTTGAGAAGTGTCTGTTCATATCCTTCGCCCACTTGTTGATGGGGTTGTTTGATTTTTTTGTTGTAAATTTGTTTAAGTTCTTTGTAGCTTCTGGATATTAGCCCTTTGCCAGATGGGTAGATTGCAAAATTTTTCCCCATTCTGTAGGTTGCCTGTTCACTGTGATGATAGTTTCTTTTGCTGTGCAGAAGCTCTTTAGTTTAATTAGATCCCATTTGTCTATTTTGGCTTTTGTTGCCATTGCTTTTGGTGTTTTAGTCATGAAGCATTTATCCATGCCTATGTCCTGAATAGTATTGCCTAGGTTTTCTTCTAGGGTTTTTATGGTTTTAGGTCTTATGTTTAAGTCTTTAATACATCTTGAGTTAATTTTTGTATAAAGTGTAAGGAAGGGATCCTGTTTCAGCTTTCTACATATGGCTAGCCAGTTTTCCCAGCACCATTTATTAAACAGGAAATCCTTTCCCCATGCTTGTTTTTGTCAGGTTTGTCAAAGATCAGATGGTTGTAGATGTGTGGTGTTATTTCTGCGGCCTCTGTTCTGTTCCATTTGTCTATATATCTGTTTTGGTACCACTACCATGCTGTTTTGGTTACTGTAGTCTTGTACTATAGTTTGAAGTCAGGTAGCGTGCTGCCTCCAGCTTTGTTCTTTTTGCTTAGGATTGTCTTGGCAATGTGGGCTCTTTTTTTGTTCCATATGAACTTTAAAGTAGTTTTTTCCAATTCTGTGAAGAAAGTCATTGGTAGCTTGATGGGGATGGCATTGAATCTATAAATTACCTTGGGCAGTATGGCCATTTTCACGATATTGATTCTTCCTATCCATGAGCATAGAATGTTCTTCCGTTTGTTTGTCCTCTTTTATTTTGTTGAGCAGTGGTTTGTAGTTCTCCTTGAAGAGGTCCTTCACATCCCTTGTAAGTTGGATTCCTAGGTATTTTATTTTCTTTGTAGTAATTGTGAATGGGAGTCCATTCATGATTTGGCTCTCTGTTTGTCTGTTATTGGTATATAGGAATACTTGTGATTTTTGTGCAATGATTTTGTGTCCTGAGACTTTGCTGAAGTTGCTTATCAGCTTAAGGAGATTTTGGGCTGAGATGATGGTGTTTTCTAAATATACAGTCATGTCATCTGCAAACAGAGACAATTTGACTTCCTCTTTTCCTAATTGAATACCCTTTATTTCTTTCTCTTGCTTGATTGCCCTGGCCAGAACTTCCACCACTATGTTGACTAGGAGTGGTGAGAGAGGGCATCCTTGTCTTGTGCCAATTTTCAAAGGGAATGCTTCCAGTTTTTGCCCATTCAGTATGATATTGACTGTGGGTTTGTCATAAATAGCTCTTATTATTTTGAAATATGTCATCAATACATAGTTTATTGAGAGTTTTTAGCATGAAGGGTTGTTGAATTTTTGTCGAAGGCCTTTTCTACATCTATTGAGATAATCATGTGGTTTTTGTCGTTGGTTCTGTTTATGTGATGGATTACATTTATTGATTTGCATATGTTGAACCAGCCTTGAATCCCAGGGATGAAGCCGGCTTGATCATGGTGGATAAGCTTTTTGATGTGCTGCTGGATTTCGTTTGCCAGTATTTTATTGAGGATTTTTGCATTGATGTTCATCAGGGATATTGGCTTAAATTTTCTTTTTTTGTTGTGTCTCTGCCAGGCTTTGGTATCAGGATGATGCTGTTCTCATGAAATGAGTTAGGGAGGATTCTCTCTTTTTCTATTGATTGGAATAGTTTCCGAAGGAATGGTACCAACTCCTCTTTGTACCTCCAGTAGAATTTGGCTGTGAATCCGTCTGGTCCTGGACTTTTTTTGGTTGGTAGGCTATTAATTATTGCCTCAATTTCAGAGCCTGTTATTGGTCTATTCAGGGATTCAACTTCTTCCTGGTTTAGTCTTGGGAGGGTGTATGTGTCCAGGAATTTATTCATTTCTTCTAGATTTTCTAGTTTATTCGTGTAGAGGTGTTTATAGTATTCCTGATGGTAGTTTGTATTTCTGAGGGATTGGTGGTGATGTCCCCTTTATCATTTTTTATTGTGTCTATTTGATTCTTCTCTCTTTTCTTCTTTATTAGTCTTGCTAGCAGTCTATCAATTTTGTTGATCTTTTCAAAAAACCAGCTCCTAGATTCACTGATTTTTTGGAAGGGTTTTTTGTGTCTCTATCTCCATCAGTTCTGCTCTGATCTTAGTAATTTCTTGCCTTCTGCTAGCTTTTGAATGTGTTTGCTCTTGCTTCTCTAGTTCTTTTAATTGTGATGTTAGGGTGTTGATTTTAGATCTTTCCTGCTTTCTCTTGTGGGCATTTAGTGCTCTAAATTTCCCTCTACACACTGCTTTAAATGTGTCCCAGAGATTCTGGTATGTTGTGTCTTTGTTCTCATTGGTTTCAAACAACATCTTTATTTCTGCCTTCATTTCATTATTTACCCAGTAGTCATTCAGGAGCAGGTAGTTCAATTTCCATGTAGTTGTGCAGTTTTGAGTGAATCTTAATCCTGAGTTCTAATTTGATTGCACTGTGGTCTGACAGACAGTTTGTTGTGATTTCTGTTCTTTTATATTTGCTGAGGAGTGTTTTACTTCCAATTATGTGGTCAATTTTAGAATAAGCGTGATGTGGTGCTGAGAAGAATGTATATTCTGTTGATTTGGGGTGGAGAGTTCTGTAGATGTCTATTCGGTCCCCTTGGTCCAGAGCTGAGTTCAAGTCCTGGATATGCTTGTTAACCTTCTGTCTCATTGATCTGTCTAATATTGACAGTGGGGTATTAAAGTCTCCCATTATTACTGTGTGGGAGTCTAAATCTCTTTGTAGGTCTCCAAGGACTTGCTTTATGAATCTGGGTGCTCCTGTTTGGGGTGCATATGTATTTAGGATAGTTAGTTCTTCTTATTGAATTGATCCCTTTACCATTATGTAATGCCCTTCTTTCTCTCTTTTGATCTTTGTTGGTTTGAAATCTTTTTTTTTTTTTTTAGTCAGAAACGAGGATTGCAACCCCTGATTTTTTTTTTGCTTTCCATTTGCTCGGTAGATCTTCCTCCATCCCTTTATTTTGAGCCTATTTGTATCTTTGCACATGAAATGGGTCTCCTGAATACAGTACAACGATGGGTCTTGACTTTTTATCCAATTTGTCAGTCTGTTTTTCAGTTGGGGCATTTAGCCTATTTACATTTAAGATTAATATTGTTATGGGTGAATTTGATCCTGTCACTATGATGTTAGCTGGTTATTTTGCCCATTAATTGATGCAGTTTCTTCATAGTGTCAATGGTCTTTACACTTTGGCATGTTTTTGCAGTGGCAGTGGCTGATACCAGTTGTTCCTTTCCATGGTTAGTGCTTCCTTCAGGAGCTCTTGTAAAGCAGGCCTGGTGGTGACAAAATCTCTCAACATTTGCTTGTCTGTAAAGGATTTTATTTCTCCTTCACTTATGAAGCTTAGTTTGGCTGGATATGAAATTCTGGTTTGAAAATTCTTTTCTTAAAAATGTTGAATATTGGCCCCCACTCTCTTCTGGCTTGTAAGGTTTCTGCTGAGAGATCCGCTGTTAGTCTGATGGGCTCCCCTTTGTGGGTGACCCGACCTTTCTCTCTGGCTGCCCTTAACATTTTTTCCTTCATTTCATCCTTGGTGAATCTGACAATTGTGTGTCTTGGAGTTGCTCTTCTTAAGAAGTATCTTTGTGGTGTTCTTTGTATTTCCTAAATTTGAATGTTTTCCTGCCTTGCTAGGTTAGGGAAGTCCTCCTGGATAACATCCTGAAGAGTATTTTGTAACTTGGTTCCATTCTCCCCGTCACTTTCAGGTACACCAGTCAAATGTAGATTTGGTCTTTTCACATAGTCCCATATTTCTTGGAGGCTTTGTTCATTTCTTTTCATTCTTTTTTCTCTAATCTTGTCTTCTTGCTCTATTTCATTGAGTTGATCTTCAATCACTGATACCCTTTCTTCCACTTGATTGAATCAGCTACTGAAGCTTGTGCATGAGTCATGTAGTTCTCGTGCCATGGGTTTCAGCTCCATCAGGTCATTTAAGGTCTTCTCTATACCGTTTATTCTAGTTAGCCATTTGTCTAACCTTTTTTCAAGGTTTTCAGCTTCCTTGCGATGGGTTTGAACATCCTCCTTTAGCTCGCAGAAGTTTGTTACCAACCTTCTGAAGCCTACTTCTGTCAACTTGTCAAACTCATTCTCCATCCAGTTTTGTTCCCTTGCTGGTGAGGAGCTGTGATCCTTTGGAGGAGAAGAGGCAATCTGGTTTTTGGAATTTTCAGCTTTTCTGCTCTGGTTTCTTCCCATCTTTGTGGTTTTTTCTACCTTTGGTCTTTGATGTTGGTGACCTACAGATGGGGTTTTGGTGTGGATGTCCTTTTTGTTGGTGTTGATGCTATTCCTTTCTGTTTGTTAGTTTTCCTTCTAACAGTCAGGACCCTCAGCTGCAGGTCTGTTGGAATTTGCTGGAGGTCCACTCCAGACCCTGTTTGCCTGGATATCACTAGCGGAGGCTGCAGAACAGCAAATATTGCTGCCTGATCCTTCCTCTGGAAGCTTTGTTCCAGAGGGGCACCTGCCTGTGTGAGGTGTCTGTTGGCCCCTACTGGGAGGTGTCTCCCAGTCAGGGTACACGGGGGTCAAGGACCGACTTGAGGAGGCAGTCTGTCCATTTTCGGAGCTCAAATGCCATGCTGGGAGAACCACTGCTCTCTTCAGAACTGTCAGACAGGGGCGTTTAGGTCTGCCAAAGCTGTCTGCTGCCTTTTGTTCTGACATGCCCTGCCCACAGAGGTGGAATCTAGAGAGGCAGTAGGCCTTGCTGAGCTGCAGTGGGCTCCACCCAGTTCAAGCTTCCCGGCCTGTTTACACTGTGAGCATAAAACTGCCTACTCAAGCCTCAGGAATGGCGGACGCCCTCCCACCCCCCCAACAAGCTGCAGCATGCCAGGCCAATCTTAAGACTGCTGCACTGGCAGTAAGCAAGGATCCATGGGCATGAGCCCCACCGAGCCAGGCACGGGAGGGAATCTCCTGGTCTGTCAGTTGTGAAGACCATGGGAAAAGCCCAGTATTTGGGCAGGAGTGTACTGTTCCTCCAGGTACAGTCTGTCACGGCTTCCCTTGGCTAGGAAAGGGAAATCCCCTGACCCCTTGCACTTCCCAGGTGAGGCGATGCCCTGCCCTGCTTTGGCTCGCCCTCCATGGGCTGCACCCACTGTCCAACTAGTCCCAATGAGATGAACCAGGTACCTCAGCTGGAAATGCAGAAATCACCCATCTTCTGTGTTGGTCTTGCTGAGAGCTGCAGACCGGAGCTGTTCCTATTCCAGCAAGATGCTTTTAAAACCTTAGAGATGATGGATCCCAGACACCAAGCTTCTGGCTGTGGCTTGGCCTTTCTAAGTATTCAACAAGTCTGTCTTTTCCAAGTGTCTTTAAAGACCAGAAATACCTGTTTTTAACACACAGGGTTGCAAAATTCAGAGGAGATTGGCGAGCATCCCTCTTGTCTGCCCCACATGTGTTTCTTTGCCAGAGGCCACCGTGGCGAGCAGGGGCCTGTGACTGCCCCAACCAAAATTTTGGAAAGTCATTCTGGCGCTACCAGATGCCCCGAGGTTCCCAGGTTGGAGTCTTTCTCTCCCACTGGGTTTCTCCTGCAACTCTTCCCAGCCCACTGGCCCCACTGCCAGAGCACACAGGAGTCCGGACACACACCGCGGGACAGCCTGACTCGCTACTGCTCTCTGCACGTGCTATATGAGAGGGTTCTTTTGAGAACAGAAAATGCAGTGACTGAGCAGGAAAGGGTGAAGGAGGAAAACCAGAGGTCGCATGCAGCCAACCAGGCATTACAAAAATGCCTTCTGGAAAAGTGCACTTGGAGTTGGTTTCCAGAGAAAATGAAAAGTCCCTCCAGAGAAATGTAAAGGCCAGAGAAACGAAGACTCAGAGAATGAAAAGGCCAACCCTGCTCATCCAGTAGCCCAGGGCTAGCCCAGACAGACCCATTCTCTTGTTGGGCTTATGACTCTGGGTGAGTCTTGGTTTCTTTCTCACCCCAAAGCCAATGTTAAACCTACAAATGAAAAAGAACACTTAAAAGGATGATCTGGGCCAGGTTCAGTGGCTCACGCCTGTTATCCCAGCACTTTGGGAGGCTGAAGCGGGTGGATCTCTGGAGGTCAGGAGTTTGAGACCAGCCTGGCCAACCTGACAAAACTCTGTCTCTACTAAAAATACAAAAGTTAGCCAGGAGTGGTGGCGGGTACCTGTAATCCCAGCTACTTGGGAGGCTGAGGCTGGAGAATCACTTGAACCCAGCAGGCAGAGGTTGTAGTGAGCTGAGATCTGCCACTGCACTCCAGCCTGGGCAACAAGGGTGAAACTCTGTCTCGAAAAAAAAAAAAAAAGGATGATCAGCAACTTGGCAAATCGTAGCCATGTTTGTTAAGTGGAGGAAAAGTATTAAACATATTATGAAAACAGAAATGGTAGTCATGTCAAACAAACAAACATTACATATGTAGGGAAAAAGATTGGCAACAAATACACAAAAAATAAAGTTCTGTTTTGATATTCTGAATTTGAGTGGTTCCCCACACCCTCTACAATTTCCAAGTTTTATGAAACATGTTGTCTCCTTTAATTAAGGCAGCAGTAACCTCTACGCACGTGATCCCCACTGCACTCTAAAACTTCCAATTAGGCCGGGCGTGGTGGCTCATTCCTGTAATCCCAGCACTGTGGGAGGCCTAGGTGGAGAGGATCACTTGAGTCCAGGAGTTGGAGACCAGCCTGGGCAACATGCTGAAACCGTCTCTACAATAAATACAAAAATTAGTGGGGCATGGTGGCACACACCTGTAGTTCCAGCTACTTGGGAGACTGAGACGAGAGGATTGCTTGACTCTGGGAGATCCAGGTTGTAGTGAACCAAGATCATGCTGTGTCCGGAATTGTTGGGTTCTTAGTCTCGCTGACTTCAAGAATGAAGCCGTGTACCCTCGCGGTGAGTGTTACAGTTCTTAAAGATGGTGTGTCCAGAGTTTGTTCCTTCAGATGTTCAGATGTGTCCAGAGTTTCTTCCTTCTGGTGGGTTCATGGTCTCACTGACTTCAGGAGTGAAGCTGCAGACTTCCGCGGTGAGTGTTATAGCCCTTAAAGGTGGCATATCTGGAGTTGTTCGTTCCTTCTGGTGGGTTCGTGGTCTTGCTGGCCTCAGGAGTGAAGCTGCAGACCTTCACAGTGAGTGCTACAGTTCATAAAGGTGGTGCACCCGAAGTTGTTTGTTCCTCCCGTCTGGAGTTGTTTATCCCTCCCAGTGGGTTTGTGGTCTCGCTGGCTTAAGGAGTGAAGCTGCAGACCTTCACAGTGAGTGTTAACAGTTCATAAAAGCAGCGTAGACGCAAAGAGTGAGGAGCACTAAGATTTACTGCAAAAAGCAAAAGAACAAAGCAGCTTTTACGGTGTGGAAGAGGACCCGAGCACGTTGCCGCCGCTGGCTTGGGTGGCCTGCTTTTATTCCCCCATCCGGCCCCACCCACATCCTGCTGATTGTTCTATTTTACAGAGAGCTGATTGGTCCATTTTACGGAGAGCTGATTGGTTCATTTTACAGAAAGCTGATTGGTCCGTTTTGACAGAGTGCTTATTGGTGTGTTTACAATCCTTTAGCTAGACACAGAGTGCTGATTGGTGAGTTTACAATCCTTTAGCTAGACACAAAAGTTCTCTAAATCCCCACCAGATTAGCTAGACACAGAGTGGTGATTGGTGCATTTACAAACTTTTAGCTAGACACAGAGTGCTGATTGGTGCGTTTACAATCCTTTACCTAGACACAGAGTGCTGATTGGTGTGTTTACAATCCTTTAGCTAGACACAGAGTGCTGATTGGTGCATTTACAATCCTTTAGCTAGACACAAAAGTTCTCCAAGTCCCCACCAGACCCAGAAGCCCAGCTGGCTTCACCTCTCAATGGCACTCCCGGGACTTTGCCGCGCCTAGTGGGGCACTCCGGCAGCCCAGAGGGCGCTCCTCCCCCACCCCCCCATCAAGCCCAGCAGGCGACGCCAACCTTGCCCCCAGTGCAGGGCCTGCCTAGCCCGCACCCACCCGGAACACCACTGGCCCGGGAGCACCACGCGCAGCCCCTGTTCCCACTGGCGTCTCTCCCTCCACACCTCCCCCCAAGCAGAGGGAGACGGCTCCGGCCTCAGCCAGCCCCAGAGAGGGGCCCCCACAGCACAGCAGTGGGCTGAAGGGCTCCTCGAGCCCGGCCAGAGCAGACACCGAGGCCGAGGAGGCGCCAAGAGCAAGCAAGGGCTGCTAGCAGGTTGTCACCTCTCAATGCCACTGCACTCTAGCCTGAGTAACAGAGCAGATCTGGTGTCAAAAAATAAAATAAAAAATAAAGAACGAGACCAGGCACGGTGGCTCACGCCTGTAATCCCAGCACTTTGGGAGGCTGAGGTGGGCAGATCACGAGCTCAGGAGTTTGAGACCACCCTGGCCAACATGGCAAAACCTTGTCTCTACTAAAAGTACAAAAATTAACTGGGCATGGTGGTGGGTGCTTGTATTCCCAGCTACTCAGGAGGCTGAGGCAGGAGAATCACTTGCATCTGGGAGGCAGAGGTTGCAGTGAACCCAGATCGCGCCACTGCACTCTAGCCTGGGCAACAAGAGTGCAACTTCGTCTCAAAAAAATAAATAAAGAAAAATAAAATGAAACCTCCAATTAAAAGGAGAAATTCAACCAGGTGCAGTGGCTCACGCCTGTATCCCAACACTTTGGGAGGCCAAGGTGGGTGGATCGCTTGAGGTCAGGAGTTCGAGACCAGCCTGACCAACATGGTGAAACCCCATCTCTACTAAAAATACAAAAAATTAGCTGGATGTGGTGGTGCACACCTGTAGTCCCAGCTACTCGGGAGGCTGAGGCAGGAGAATTGCTTAAACTTGGGGCGTGGAGGTAGCAGTGAGCCGAGATCACGCCATTGCATTCCAGCTTGGGTGACAGAGCGAGACTCAGTCACAAATAAATAAATAAATAAATAGGCCAGGTGCGGTGGCTCACGCCTGTAATTCCAGCACTTTGGGAGGCCGAGGTGGGCGGATCACCTGAGGTCAGGAGTTCGAGACCAGCCTGCCCAACATGGTGAAACCCCATGTCTACTAAAAATACACACACAGACACAAAATAGCCAAAATTAGCCAAAAAATTATAAATAAATAAAATAAAAAGATAAGTTGCACACTCAGGAGGCTGAGGCAGGAGACTCGCTTGAACCCAGGAGGTGGAGGCTGCAGTGAGCCGAGACCACGCCATTTCACTCCAGTCTGGGCGACAAAGCAAGACTCTGTCTCAAAAAAAAAAAAAAGACAAATTCAGCAGAAGCATTGCTTGAGTAACACGGAAACTCAGAACCAGGAAACTGAAGGCGGTTACTCCACATACATCTGGGGCAATAAGTGAGCTGTTCCAGCGCGGCTTACGCTGTGGGCGGAGGCGGGCAGGAAATTCACTTACAAGTCTGTGCCAGGAAACAGGAAGAAGGTGCCTCCTGTGATACAAGATACAGACGTAGTCTCCTATCCAGGAAACAGGGACAGAGCCGCAGACCAGATAAAGATACGACCAACATTTTTCATTAAATATTCTCAACGGATTATTTACATTTTTTCTAGAAAAGTAAAATTTAAACCTGAATACATTTGATAACTATGGAATGTGAGCATTCACGTATGCTTGTGACCTGGTTCCTCTACGCTTCAGGGGTCGCCCTGGTCCCAAAGCGCTTCCTGCCGCTCCCACTTCCTCTGTTTTCACCGGAGGGGCAGCCACAGTTCTCGGCTGAGAGAAACTCGGTCGTTCTGTTTACCTCGTGAATGATTGGCTACAGATCCCAGAGAGGAAATAGGGACCCACCCCTCAGTTGTTATGCAATCTGGGGCGGAGTCCGGGGTCCATAGCCTTTCTGAGGGTAACCTGAGCGGGAGAAGTTGTTGCGCCTGATCTCAAACAGCCTTTCGCACGGAAAAGGATTCCTAAAAGTGGGGTTACTCCTCCACAGCAATAGCGTCCTTAAAATAGGGGCTCCCGGCTGGGCGCGGTGGCTCACCCCTGTAATCCCAGCACTTGAGAGGCCAAGACAGGCGGATCACCTGAGGTTGGGAGTTCGAGACCAGCCTGAACAACATGGAGAAACCCCCTCTCTACTAAAAATACAAAATTAGCCGGGTGTGGTGGCGCATGCCTGTAATACAAGCTACTCGGGAGGCTGAGGCAGGAGAATCGCTTGAACCTGGGAGGCGGAAGTTGCGGTGAGCCGAGATGGCGCCATTGCACTATAGCCTGGGCAGCGGCAAGAGCGAAACTCCGTCTCAAAAAAAAAAAAAAAAAAAAAACTATATATCTATCTATCATCTATCTATCTATCTATCTATCTATCTATCTATCTAGGCTGCCGGTGAGGACGTGAGGCACGTGCCACTGAGCCACTGAGAATTTACCCCCCTGGGCAAGTCTGTGAGGCCAGGGCCCCTAGGGAAAAAAGCCTTTCCCAGATTTTAGGGCTCATATGCCTGCAGTGGGTTGGTAGGGATCGGGGAAGATGATGAGGTTGGGATAAGGAAGTGGTACCAATAGAAAGACTAAGCAAACCAAACCAAATCAAACTTTCCCCTTTCCATCCCTGTCCTCCTCTTTGCAATCCCATTTGGGTGGCTGAAGGCAGACCCTGACCAGAGCCATCCTTGCCGGCTTCTTTTGTCTTGCTCTGTGGGGAAACGAGTGAAGAAAAAAGCAGAAGGAAAGGCAAGTGAAATGGAGCCCTCTGTGAAGAACTACGACTAGGGTCACACAGAGCAAAATTCCTAGCCTTCCTTTGAGGAGTAGCCGTATTTCCATTTAAAAAGGACCCACTTTATGCAAGATTCAGGGCTGGGAATTGGTCCTTCCTGCCTCAAGAATTTCAAAGACTTCTAGAGGAGAGTGTCCAAAGACAGACAAGAAAGTGGCCAGTGCCCTGAAGAAAGTCAGGGGGTCCAGGGGAGTGTGAACCCTGAATATCTGAGACAGGTCTCAGTTAATTTAGAAAGTTTATGTTGTCAGGGTTGAGGATGTGTGTCGGTGACACAGCCTTAGGAAGTCCTGATGACATGTGCCCAAGTTGGTCAGGGCACAGCTTGGTTTTATACATTTTAGGGAGACATGAGACATCAATCAACATATGTAAGATTAACATTGGTTCGGTCTGGAAAGGCGGGACAACTTGAAGCAATGGTGGGACAACTCCAAGTGGCGAGGGGGCTTCCAGGTCATAGGTAGATAAGAGACAAATGGTTACTTTCTTTTGAGTTTCTTTTTTTTTGAGATGGAGGCTCGCTCCTGTTGCACAGGCTGGAGTGCAGTGGTGCGATCTTGGCTTGTTGCAACCTCCACCTCCCAGGTTCAAGCGATTCTCATTCCTCAGCCTCCCGAATAGCTGGGATTACAGGCATGTGCCACCACGCTGAGCTAATTTTTGTATTTTTAGTAGAGACGGGGTTTCACCATGTTGGCCAGGCTGGTCTCGAACTCCTGGCCTCGGGTGATCCATCCGCCTCGGCCTCCCAAAGTGCTAGGATTACAGGTGTGAGCCACTGTGCCCGGCCTCTTTTGAGTTTCTGATTAGCCTCTCCAAAGGAGGCAATCAGATAGCATTTATCTCAGTAAGCAGAGGAGTGACCGAATAGAATGAGACGTAGGTTTGCTCTCAGCAGTTCCCAACTTGACTTTTCCCTTTAGCTTAGTGATTTTCGGGCCCCAAGATTTATTTTCCTTTCACAGGTATCCCCTGTTCAGTTCAGACTGAACCTGAGGGGGTGTAGGGATGTACTCCAGGCTGGAGTGAAGTGGCATGATCTCGGCTCACTGCAACGTCTGCTTTCTAGGCTCAAGAGATCCTCCCAACTCAGCCTCCTGAGTAACTGGGATTTCAGGTGAGCACAACCATGCCCAGCTAATTTTTGTATTTTTAGTAGAGACGGGGTTTTGCCCTGTTTCCCAGGCTGGTCTGGAACTCCTGAACTCAGGTGATCCACCCACCTCGGCCTCCCAAAGTGCTGGGAATACAGGCGTCAGCCACTGTGCCCAGCCAAATTCTACGTCTTTTAAAAAATTAAGAGAAGAAATTAGTAAAATACACTTAAAGTTTTTCGTATGAAACTTATTTAGTGTTTCTGATGATTTGTTCTTGTGGATTGGACTTACAATCTGATGTGGTTCCTTTGTTTCAATGTAACTCCATCTTTTCCCTATCCTTTGTACCATTATTGTCATATGTGTGTGAGTGCATATATACACACACATTATCTTTAGATGTTACAAACCCAACACTGTAATTTTATAATTGTTGTTTTATGTAATTTCTTTTAAAACAGTTAAGAAATGAAAAGGAGCCAGGCATGGCGGTGTGCATCTGTAGTCCCAGCTACTCAGGAGGAGGCTGAGGTGAGGGGATCACTTGAGTCCAGGATTTGAGGCTGCAGTGAGCGATGGTCAAACCACTGCACTCCATCCTGGGTGAGAGAGTGAGACCTTGTCTCTCAAAAAAGAAAAAGAAAAAGAAGAGATTTGTAGTTTTTAGTTTTTAGTTTTTAAAAAATAATTACCAACATATTATTTTTTCTGATGCTGTTTGTTTCTTTTACAAATTTTACTTTTTTTAATGTAATATTTTTGAGATGGAGTCTTGCTCTGTTGCCCAGGCTGGACTACAGTGGTGTGATCTTGGCTCACTGCAGACTCCACCTGCTGGGTTCAAGTGATTCTTGTGCCTCAGCCTCCCAAGTAGCTGGGATTACAGGTGTGCGCCACTGTGCCTAGCTACAAGTTTTATCTTTAATTGACATACAATAATTGTTTTTCATTGGATTGGGATTATTATCTGGTGTCATTTCTTCTCAGTCTGAAGAACTTACTTTAGTATTACATTAGTGTTTCTTGTAAGACATATCTGCAAGAGATAAATCTCCCTAGTCTTTGTTTATGTAAGAATATGTTCATGTTGGCTTCTCTTTTTGTTTTCTTTAGAATAAATTTTGGTTTTGGAGACAGGGTCTCGCTCTGTTGCCCAGGCCGGAGTGTAGTGGCATGATCATGTCTCATTGCAACCTCAATCTCTCGGGCCTAAGAGAGCCTCCTGCCTCAGCCTCCTGAGTAGCTAGGACTACAGGTGTGCACTACCACACATGGCTAAATTTTTTTTTTTTTTTTTTTTTTGCAGAGACAGGGTCTTACTTTGTTGCCCAGGCTGGTCTTGAACTCCTGGGTTCAAGCGATCCTCCCACCTTGGCCTCCCAAAGTGCTGGGATTATGGGTGCAAACCACTGTCCCTGTACCGGTCTTCAGTTTTGAAGGATAATTTTTCTTGATGTAAAATTCTTGATTGCTAGCTTCTCCCCACTAACCCCCAAATTTGCATATGTTACTGTCTTCTTTAATTTTTTTTTTTTTTTGAGACAGAGTCTTGCTCTGTTGCCCAGGCTGGAGTGCAGTGGCACAATCTTGGCTCACTGCGCCTCCGCCTCCCGGGTTCAAGCAATTCTCCTGCCTCAGCCTCCCGAGTAGCTGGGATTACAGGCATGTACCACCACACCCAGCTAATTTTTATATTCTTAGTAGAGATGGGGTTTCACCATGTTGGCCAGGCTGGTCTTGAACTCTTGACCTCGTGATCTGCCTGCCTCAGCCTCTCAAAGTGCTGGGATTATAGACATGAGCCACGGCACCCAGCCCATGTTACAGCCTTCTAACCTCCATTGTTACTGATGAGGTTAGCTATTAAGATTATTGTGTCTGTGTGTATGAGTGTATTTGTATGAGATGAGTTTTTTCTCATTGCTTTTAAGATGTCATTTCTATTTTTGGCTGGTAATAGTTTCAGTATAATATATTAATGTTTAGGTGTGAATCAATTTTTTTTTTTTTTTTTGAGACAGAGTCTCACTCCATTTCCAGGGCTGGAGTATAGTGGCATGATATTAGCTCATTGCAACCTCTGACTCCGTGGTTCAAGCAATTCTCCTGCCTCAGCCTCCCGAGTAGCTGGGATTACAGGTGTGCATCACCATGCCCAGCTAATTTTTGTATTTTTATTGAGACAGATTTCACCATGTTGGCCAGGCTGGTCTCGAACTCCTGACCTCAAATGATCCACACACCTCAGCCTCCCAAAGTGCAGGGATTACAGGCATGAGCCACCGTGCCTGGCCGACAATTTCTATTGACTGTTTCTCCCTGCAAATGGATTGCATTTTCCTATTTCTTTGCCCTTTTGTAACTTTTTTGGAAAACTGAAAATTTTAGACAATATATGCTAGCTCTGGATTCCAATTTCTTTCTCTTGGGGGTGAAGGTGGTTGTTGTTTTGTTTGTTTTTATAGTGACTTGCCTGTACTAATTCTGTGGAGTCCCTTTCCCTTGCAGTATGAGGGTTCAGATATTTTTATAGTGACTTGCCTGTACTAATTCAGTGGAGTCCTTTTCCCTTGCAGTATGCAGTATGAGGCTTCAGATATTTCTGCTCAGATATTTCTGCTCAGGTTCCTTTTTGTTTTTGAGACAGAGCTTCACTCTTGTTGCCCAGGCTAGAGTGCAACGGCGTGATCTCGGCTCACTGCAACCTCTGCCTCCTGGGTTCAAGCGATTCTCCTGCCTCAGCCTCCCGTCCTTTTTTAATTCTTATTTTTATTTTTAAGCCTGAATTCTTAGGGGTTGCCCCTGGATCAGCATAGCTTAATGGTCAGCCAGTGATCTGTTAGAGTTTGTGCTTAAATGCCTTAAGCCAGTAAGGCTTCTAACCCTGCTGTTGGAGCTGTGTGTGATTTGGAGGGTACTTTCAAAGTTCAGAGAGTTTACAAGTGAGCCATGGCTTTCTCTTTATTTCTGAGACCTCATATTTAGTTGCAGGGAGGAGTAGCTTCCTATAGCCTTCTCAAGTCTCTCTTCTAAGCAGTTATAACCCTGTGTGCTGCACATAGCTTTTTAAACTACCAAAGTTAAATGGTATTTTACTAAGGCATTCTTTGTCTGTTTTGTTCCTTTGATTTCCCTTTTAAATTTCTGGCTAGTCTGCTATTTTGCTGCTTCTCCCAACCATTGTCATGACGCAGGCTAGCCACACCGTTAGGCTTTGCTAATGAATTCTTCTGTGAAAAAGTACTGCCACATCTTCCCATTTATTTATTTAAGAATTTCTTTTATCAATATGGGCTAATGGATACTTATTTTATTCTATGGGTTATAATCCAATTCCATTATTACTTATTTTGTTGCTCAAATTGTTTCCATTTTAACTATTGGAATTATTTCCAGTTGGCTCCTGTGTCCCTTTGATATGGTTCTCACCTTTTAATCGAGCATGTAAATACTTTCTGACATCATAGGATGCCCCAGTCCTAGAATCGACCGTTTCTCCAAGGAGCCGGAATGCCGTTTTGTTTTCAATTTAAATTTTTTTTGTGTAGAGATAGTGTCTCACTATGTTGCCCAGGCTAGCCTCGAAATCCTGGCCTCAAGCGATCCTCCTGCCTCAGCCTCCCAAAGTGCTAGTATTACAGGCGTGAACCACCATATCTGGCCTGTCAGATTCTTTTAATTTTTGGTTTTTAACTTTTTATTATTGAAAACTTAAAATTTATAAAAAATTAGAAAGAATAGCAAAGTGTTTCCATCACTCAGCTTCAACAATCATCCCTCCCTTAGAGAATCCTAGTAATCTGAACAGGAATGTGGATCAGCAAGGCCTGTTTAGGTGACTAAAGCAGTGAAAATTATCTCCATCAATTGTGTGGGATGAATTTTCAACAGCAACACCTATAGCAGAGAAAAGCAACAGCTTCTTTTCTGTTCTTAGCACTGAAGGGGACTACGAGTGTACCCTTTGGCTGTGGGGTGCTTAGACATTTCACAGGAAGCCCCAAGAGGTATTAGAATGGATCACTGGAAAAATAAAGTTGTGAATATATTTGTATCTTGGGTTTTTAGTGGAAGCTCACATTAGTTACAGTTATGACAAAACCTATTCTCTGTACACCCAAGGGTCTTTTTTGGTCACAAGAGAATATTTTCAAGGGGAATTTAAAAACATAAGAAACCACGTTTACGCTGGGCACAGTGGCTCATGCCTGTAATCCCAGCACTTTGGGAATCTGAGGCGGGCAGACCACTTGAGCCCAGGAGTTTGAGACCAGCCTGGCCAACATGGTGAAACCTCGTCTCTACCAAAAATACAAATAATAATAATAATAATAATAATAAAAATAAAGCAGGGCATGGTGGCGTGCACCTGTAGTCCCAGCTACTGGGGAGGCTGAAGTGGGTGGGAGAATTGCTTTAACTGGGGAGGCAGAGGTTGCAGTGAGCTGAGATTGTGCCACTGCACTCCAGCCTGGGTGACAGAGTGAGAGCCTGTCTAAAAAACAAACAAACAAACAAAAAACCACGTTTAGTCTGAGGAACAGTACCTCGTGGTACATTGCCATAATTAGTTCCCAAGAGAAGATTGAGTGTCAGGCCCTGGAGAGGCCTGGAGCACTAATCAGGGAACCAAGGCTGGGGAGGGTGGGGGAAGGCCCAGCTAGATCTTTCATTCCTGATCTTCTTTCTCACGATCCAAAGAGATGTACTTACTACTTTTTGTCATTATGTCTGTTAAGTATTTTTAAATTCACTGGTTCTCTCTCATTTTTTTTTTTAGCTTTAACTTCCGCTACAGTTTACCACAACTTCCTGGTTCCTCCCCTTTGTGGTCACAAAAACATTTCCTAGTTGAGATACATTTTCTTGACTTGAGTCTCCTTTCTCTGGTTCATTTGGTGCCTTTATCAACTCTATGCATAGTGAGGTTTTAAGTCTTTATAAAGATCATTGGCACATGAGGGGGTCTGCAGCCTACTGTCCTATTTACTCAGTTTGGTGTTATTCTACTATATTTGTGATGTCAGGAGCCACACTGTCTGGAAATGATGCTGGGAGGTCATTCTGGGTTGCCTGAAAAACAAACTCATTAGAACCTGGGGCTCCCTCTTCTTCCAGTGAGTGGGGTTTCCAAAAGTTAGAATCCAGTGGAACCAGGGGTGTTTTTCTCACTCCTGGCAGAGGGACGTGTGACTAGCCATGGGCCCCTAGGTCTCCAGTTCCTGGGTAGCTTGTATTTTTGAACATCTCCTGTATATTAGTTATCATTACAGCATAAAAATTGTCCTAAAATAAGTGGCTTAAAACAACACACCCTTATTATCTCACAATATTTGAAGGACAGCAATTCAATACAGCATAGCTGGGTCCTCTCTTCAGGGCCCCTCAAGGCTGCAATCATAGTTGGGGTCTTCCCTGAAGACTCAACTAGGAAAGGATGAGCTTCCAAGCTCACTAACTTAGTTGTTGGTAGGAAGCACGAAGGGTGGTAGGACTGAAGGTTTGGTTCCTCTTGAATGTTGAGTTGAGAGCACTCTCAGTTCCTCACCACATGGACCTCCTTAACATGGCAGCTTGATTACTTGAGTCAGTAAATGAGTCTGCTAGCAAGATAAAAGCCACAAACTCTTATTGTCTACTCATGGATATGATAGACTTTCACCTTTGTCATATTCCATTGGTTAGAATTAAGTGACAAGGTCCATACCAAACTCAAGGTGGGAAGGATTCCACAAAGACTCGAATACTAAGATGGGGGATCACTGGAGACCATCTTAGAAGTCAGGTTAGCACAACCTGTCAATAACTGACACTCTAATCAAGAGTGCTAGGTGCCTACGCTGTTTGTGTGCCTCTTCATTGATAAGGCTGCTCTCATGCTTGACTCATAATGGAGAGCAATAACACACTGCCTCATCCCTCCCCTCCACCTGCATGTCCAGTAGTGTGCCTGGTTTGCTCTTCTATGGAAAAATAAAAGGAATTGGACTCATGCTTTCTCTTTACTTGCTGACACTGAATTGAAAATTCCCTCAAAAGCCTATTTCTTAACCCATAGCATGCGATATTCTGGCTTTTATCCTGAGCCCTGGTGAACAACAGGTGGTGACCCCAAGGGACCTGCTTTGCATGACAGCCTCACACCTGGTTTTCCTCTCAGTCCTCTCCCAGTCTCTCCTCTTTGCCTCATAAGTTTAGTTACACCCCGAACACTGTCTTTTGGCTATTTTATGGATCCTGTTTGCAGCTTGAGGCACAGGTTATTCCTGCCCTTTGCCCACCATCTGCTCCTGGGACCCCAGCCTGAGTGGAAGAGGTCTTGGAGTGTGGCTTGGACATTATTAATCAGGTTTTCTCCACACCAGCACACATACACACCCATGTGCACACAAACACACAGGCACACCCCCCACACACATGCATGTGCGTGCACACACACACACATGCATGTCGACACACACACACACTTTGTTGTGGAATCTGGTGCCTGTGGTCTTATGTATTTTCGCAGGAATTTGTGCTTAATGGATATTCCGAGCAGTCTTCATTGGTTACCCACGCCCACTGTTATGCTTTATGAACAAACTCATGCATTCTTTCCTAAATAGACTGCATATTTCCTTTTCTTTTCTTTTCTTTTCTTTCTTTCTTTTTTTTTGAGACGGAGTCTTGCTCTGTTGCCCAGGCTGGAGTGCAATGGGGGGATCTTGGCTCACTACAACCTCCGCCTCCTGGCTTCAAGCGATTCTCCTGCCTCATCCTCCCAAGTAGTTGGAATTACTGACGCCCTCTACCACGCCTGGCAAGTTTTGTATTTTTAGTAGAGACAGGGTTTCACTATGTTGGCCAGGCTGGTCTCAAACTCCTGACCTCAAGTGATCCACCTGCCTCAGCCTCCCAAAGTGTTGGGATTACAGGCATAAGCCATGGCGCCTGGCCATTTTTTTTTTTTTAAGAGACAGGGTCTCATCTCACTCTGTCACCCAGGCTAGAGTACAGTGGCATGATCACAGCTCTACTCTACTAAAAATACAAAAATTAGGCCGGGCGCAGTGGCTCACACCTGTAATCCCAGCACTTTGGGAGGCCGAGGTGGGTGGATCACCTGAGGTCGGGAGTTCAAGACCGGACTGACCAACATGGAGAAACCCTGCCTTGGCCGGGCACGGTGGCTCACGCCTGTAATCCCAGCCCTTTGGGAGGCCAAGGTGGGCTGATCACCTGAGGTCAGGAGTTTGAGACCAGCCTGGCCAACATGGTGAAACCCCGTCTCTATCAAAAATATAAAAATTAGCCAGGCACAGTGGCAGACGCCTGTAATCTCAGCTACTTGGGAGGCTGAGGCAGAAGAATCCCTTGAACCCGGGTGATGGAGTTTGCAGTGAGCCATCCTCACGAGATCGTGCCACTGCACTCCAGCCTGGGCGACAGAGCCAGACTCCATCCCCCCCAAAAAAAAAAAGAAAAAAAGAAAACCCGTCTCTACTAAAAATACAAAATTAGCGAGGTGTGGTGGCACATCCCTGTAATCCCAGCTACCTAGGAGGCTGAGGCAGGAATTGCTTGAACCTCGGAGGTGGAGGTTGCGGTGAACCAAGATTGCGCTATTGCACTCCAGCCTGGGCAACAAGAATGAAACTCCATCTCAAAACAAAAATAAAAATAAAAATACAAAAATTAGCCAGGCGTGGTGGCAGATGCCTGTAATCCCTGCTACTCAAGAGGCTGAGGTGGGAGGATTGCTTGAACTTGGGAGGCGGAGGTTGCAGTGAGCCGATATCCCGCCATTGCACTCCAGCCTGGGTGACAGCGTAAGACTCTGTCTCCAAAAAGAAAAGGGAATCCTACCTCCTGAGGGCCTCTGTTACTGTAATTTCTAAAAGTGCCCCACCTGACCCTTGAACCTAATCAACTCAATGTTAAAAGTCATAGCATAGTAGCTAATGCTCATATAGCCCTTTATGGCATTGTCTTACACACTGGCATCCAGCCAGTGTGCACTAGTACAGCCAATACTGATTGTTACAGAAAATAGAATGGTTATCGTGATAGGTGGTAAAATTAATAAGTACTAGAAATTCTAATATCTCATTAACTAATTAACTATTTGTCTTAGTCTATCACAGTGATCATCAATGGATGGGTCTCCTGCACTGCAGCATCTGAGAATCATTTATGGCACCACCGGCTGGTTCAGCCATGTCACCATTGTACATTCATTGTTTTGTGGTTTAGGAAAATCATCAGTTAATTGTTATCCTCACATGCTGTAACTTATAAATAGTATATTTGTTTGGCTTTTCCTTGTTTCTATTGTTATTGTGTTATTATTCATCTGGAAATAATAACTGTGCAGTGTTTTGATATCTATAAATTCAAGAACTTAGAATAGTAAACAGTAAGAGTGAAGTGACAAAGTTTAAATACATTTTATTTATTTATCTATTTACTTATTTTCTGAGATAAGAGTCTTACTCTGTTGCCCAGGCTGGAGTGCAGTGGTGTGATCTCGGCTCACTGCAACTTCTGTCTCCCAGGTTCAAGCGATCTTCCTGCCTCAGTCTCCTGAGTAGCTGGGACTACAGGTGTGTGCCACCACACCCACCAAATTTTTATATTTTTGTTTTATTTTATTTTTTTTGAGACAGAAGGGTTTTTTTTTTTTTTTTGAGACAGAAGGGTTTTTTTTTTTTTTTTTTTTTTGAGACAGAGTTTCACTTTTGTTGCCCAGGCTGGAGTGCAATGGCGAAATCTCAGCTCACTGCAACCTCTGCCTCCCGGGTTCAAGCAATTCTCCTGCCTCAGCCTCCCAAGTAGCTGGGACTACAGGCATGTACCACCATGCCTGGCTAATTTTTTGTATTTTAGTGGAGACGGAGTTTCACGATGTTGGTCAGGCTGGTCTTGAACTCCTGACTTCAGGTGAGCCACCTGCCTTGGCCTCCCAAAGTGCTGGGATTACAGGCATGAGCCACCGCGCCCAGCCGATTTTTGTATTTTTAGTAGAGATGGGGTTTCGTCATGTTGGCCAAGCTGGTTTCAAACTCCTGACCTCAGGTGATCCATCAGCTTCAGCCTCCCAAAGTGCTGGGATTACAGGCATAAGCCACAGTGCCAGGCCTACATACATTTTAAACATTGCTTTTAGATACTGTAAACATGACTCTTCTGAATCTGAGACAAATCATGAAACCAATGGTATTAATATTGAATCACAGCCTGGAACAACTGATATGCAAAGATTATGGCAGGTGGGAATGCTTTCAGTATTGCATAAGATTCAGTTCAAAGGAAACAATAATTCACATTTCTAAAATTTAATTAAAAACCTGATAATTGGCCAGGTGTATTGGCTCATGCCTGTAATCCCAGCACTTTGGGAGCTCAAGGTGAGTGAATCACCTGAGGTTGGGAGTTCGAGACCAGCCTGACCAACATGGAGAAACCCTGTCTCTACTAAAAATATAAAATTAGCCAGGTGTGGTGGTGCATGCCTGTAATCCTAGCTACTGGGGAGGCTGAGGCAGGATAATCATTTGAACCCAGGAGGTGGAGGTTGCAGTGAGCTGAGATGGCGCCATTGCACTCCAGCCTGGGCAACAAGAGCAAAACTCCATGTCAAAAAACAAACAAACAAAAAACCCCTGATAATTTTGACAAAACTCACAGGTAGCTGATTATTGCTTGAAATGTAAATATTAAATGAAAACGATATGCAAAGCACACATCTTGTGGATGTGTGAAAAGGTGAATGTTCTAGCATATTGTCGGTGCTCAGAATTCAGGGAAAAACTAGTAATAAGAAGAATTTGAAGAATATTATGAATGAGCTTCACATAATGAAGTCTTTGAAATAATAAATCCCCTGAAATACTTTGTATCATAAAAAGAACAAAACATTGAAAAAGTACCATTAGAATGCTAATATTACCTACTGTGTAATTAGTCTACTGCTAAATAGAGTCTTAAAAAAGGTTGTAAATAGTGCATATCATTGCAGTCTACATTAATGGTTACAATGGTCACAAAACGTATATCTACCATGATGAGACAACTTTTTAGTAAATTTATAAATCTAGGCAATCAATCATCACCAAGAAAGCTTCAATTATGTAACAAAAAAAAATTTTTTTTTTTTGAGACGGAGTCTCACTCTGTCACCTAGGCTGGAGTGCAGTGGCGCGATCTCGGTTCACTGCAAGCTCCACCTCCCAGGTTCACACCATTCTCCTGCCTCAGCCTCCCGAGCAGCTGGGACTACAGGCGCCTGCCACCATGCCCGGCTAATTTTTTGTATTTTTAGTAGAGACGGGGTTTCACTGTGTTAGCCAGGATGGTCTTGATCTCCTGACCTCGTGATCCGCACACCTTGGCCTCTCAAAGTGCTGGGATTACAGGTGTGAGCCACCACGCCCGGCCACAAAAATGTGTTTTTATTAGTGACTTAAATACTAAATTTCAGACTTATAAAACTGATGATATAAAACTAATGATTTTTGCTCATCTGAGGAACTGAAATGATGTATCAAGCTTACTTACTCATCAGTGCTCAAGAAAAGTGGTTTTGATGTGAAATGGTTACACAATGCTACAGATGGTTCTAGTATATGTCACAGAGAAAGTTCAGAGAAGCCAAAGTTTTAGAGAAGTCTCTATATGGCCAGGCACAATGGCTCATGCCTGTAATCCCAGCACTTTGGGAGGCCAAGGCAGGCAGATCACGAGGTCAAGAGATTGAGACCATCCTGGCCAACATGGTGAAACCCTGTCTCTACAAAAAAATACAAAAATTAGCTGGGCGTGGTGGCATGCACCTATAGTCCTAGCTGCTTGGGAGGCTGAGGCAGGAGAATCGCTTGAACCTGGGAGGCAGAGTTTGCAGTGAGCAGAGATTATGCCACTGCACTCCAGCCTGGTGACAGAGCGACAATCTGTCTCAAAAAAAAAAAAAAAAAAAGTCTCTTTATATTTTAAATTGGTACTATATAAGTTACTGTATTCAGTGATGTCAGGATGATGCAGTAAAATGTTTAAATGAAAAATTACTTCAAATATTTGCCTCACTAAACTTTATATTCACAACTACATATGAAATAAGCATTTGGGAAAATTAAAAATATTTCTAAAGATACTGGAATTGAAGTCATGAAACTAGAAAGCATATTTGGGCACTCTGTAATAGTGGGATGCCAAGAGCATTAGGGAATTGTACCAAACCTTTTATATTCACTTTAATAGAAGTTGTGAAATGGGAGTAGTAAGTGTTTAGGACATAAACTTTTTTTCCCAGAAATTTGACGTTAATAACTTATATATTAACAGAGATGTCAATGTTATCTTTATCCTTTCCAGAGGAAATATTAAAAATTACAGAAGCTGGATTAATTGTAGAAAAATAAGAATCAGTTAATATATAAAATTAAATACATAAAGCAAAGGGGAAAAAGTAGATAGTATTGTTTAAAAATATGATATACCATTTGAAAGAAAAATGTCAACTTCAAGAGAAAAAGTCAATTAGATTATCTAATAATTTATGTGATTGCAATTGTAGTTTGATGACAAAAGTAAAATATATTAAGAACTTAAAATTTTTAAATTAAGTCAACCATGAAGGATGTTTACAAAGCTTCATAGATGTAACCAATTAAATCAAGACAATTTTTAATTTAATCAATACAATTAAGCCTACTTATTAAAGATGGCTTTTATTAATTGATTTTTGTGGTGGAGTGAACGGAGATATTAAATAATAAGAATTTCTAGGCCGGGCGCGGTGGCTCATGCCTGTAATCCCAGCACTTTGGGAGGCCGAGGCGGGCAGATCACAAGGTTAGGAGATCGAGACCATCCTGGCTAACATGGTGAAACCCCGTCTCTACTAAAAATACAAAAAATGAGCCAGGCATGGTGGCAGGCGCCTGTAGTCCCAGCTACTCAGGAGGCTGAGGCAGGAGAATGGCGTGAACCCGGGAGGAGGAGCTTGCAGTGAGCTGAGATCGCGCCACCGCACTCCAGCCTGGGCGACAGGAGACTCCGTCTCAAAAAAAAAAAAAAGAATTTCTAGGCCAGGCGTGGTGGCTCATGCCTGTAATCCCAGCACTTTGGGAGGCCGAGGCAGGTGGATCATTTGAGGTCAGGAGTTTGAGACCAGCTTGGCCTACGTGGTGAAACCCCCTCTTTACTAAAAATACAAAAAGTAGCTGGGCGTGGTGGCATGTGCCTGCAATCCCAGCTACTCGGGAGGCTGAGACAGGAGAATTGCTTGAACCGGGGAGGTGGAGGTTGCAGTGAGCCAAGATCGCACCACTGCACTCCAGCCTGGGCGACAGAGTGAGACTGTCTCAAAAAAAGAAAAAAAAAAAAGAAAGAAAAAGAATTTCAGACAGCAGTTCAAGGGCTAAAAAATCTTTAACATAGCTGCTAAAGTGAGAGAGGATTTGGCACCATGAACAATATAGTTGATTACATACGTCATAATATACAAACAATTTAATGGGGAAATTATCAGAAGCTTATACAAGGCTCTTTTGTCAAATCATGGCTAACATAGGCATATATCACTTAACCAATAATTACCACCTAAGAAATGCAAAAAATGTTTAAAAATCAATAAATAATTTGGAAATTGTTATAACTATTTAAGAAATTATTTATATTTCAACTGTGTCACTTGGTAAGTAGTTTTATAATCATTTAGTTAGGACAGAAAAATAGCATAATTGGGAAAATTTTATTTATATATTAATTTCCATTGCCATACCAGCTGTCAACTATTTTGAATAGTACTCTTGATCTCACATATAGTTTGCTTGTAGTAAGTATTGATTGAATGGTGTTTGATATAAATGAATGAAGATGACAGTCAGGACACCCAGGACAAGTGAAAGCAGGGCTGAAGGAATGTAAGGGTTGCAGTATTTATTGTCTTTTAGCTGAAATATTTAGAAACAGAAAGGGTAAGCGCACAGAGGAATAGCATAGCAGAAATCATGTGACTTTCTCATGTTAACCCTTCCCCTTGTCCAGACCCTATTTGTCCATATGGGCATCTCCATATAGAGACAAGACTCAGAAGGTTGGATAGCTATACTTCTTTGCCTCTGTTTTCAGGAAGCCAAGTCCTCTGTTCGCTTTGGTTGCCACCACTAACTCGGCGGCTGGGCTGCCCATGTGTAGACAGATGTCTTGAAAATATCAAGTTCCCTAAGCAGCTTGAACTGCAGGGAGGCTCAGAGAGGGTAGATTTCCTGAGCTGCTGACTTACTGCGGGACTGACTCAGTAAGATTCCAGGCACTAGGCAGAGCTAGTTAGGAAAGGAAACGTTTCCTGTTTGCCTCTGTGGGGAAAAAGAACCTACTCTTTGGACAGAGTCACCTGGCTCTAACACCAGAAAGGAAAGCGAGGCGGTGCATCCTCCAGAACAGCAGTAGGCAGGGCCACGGAGCATCCCACAGCCACCAGTGGGGCTGTCCTGCTGTTCTTGCAGTAGTGCCCTGTCTCCCAGAATCTCCCCCTGGTGCTATCTCCACCCTGCCTGAAAGTAGTGAGGAGGATGATGGGGAGAGAGTCAGACAGGCTGGGGTTGGGAAGAGTGAGTGCCCTTGATTTTTCTCTTATCCAAATTCAACTTTCATTTTAGTTTTCCCTCCAATTCCTCAAAGCAAGCATCGCTACTCTTAATTTCTCATATGGAACTACTTAGGGGTGGCAAAAACCTCATGGGACTGGTGGGGCTTCCTGTGCTTTTAATTGAAATGGTTTCTTTGTGGGTTCCCAAAGCTAAATTGTCCTTGCTCACACTGGAAGGAAATAAAGAAAAATAAGTATGATTATTGTACCAAGTAGTGGGATTACAGGTGAGGTTTTTCTTGTTTATTAGAAAATTCTTGGCCAGGCGCGGTGGCTCATGACTGTAATCCCAGCACTTTGGGAGCCGGAGGTGGGCAGATCATGAGGACAGGAGATTGAGACCATCCTGGCTAACACGGTGAAACCTCGTCTCTACTAAAAATACAAAAAATTTTCTGGGCGTGGTGGCATGCACCTGTAATCCCAGCTACTCAGGAGGCTGAGGCAGGAGAATGGCATGAACCCAGGAGGCAGAGTTTGCAGTGAGCAGAGGTTGTGCCATTGCACTCCAGCCTGGGCGACAGTGCGAGACTGTGTCTCAAAAAAAAGAAAAGCAAGAAAATTCTTTTCTTGTTTTTATAGATGTGCAATAAAAACAATTGGGAGAAGAAAGAAGAGTTGACCTGGATTTTCATAATGCAAAGAAAATGGCACCCAAATTCCCACCACAAGGATTTACATGTATTATCCAATTCAATTCATTCAGAATTCCGTGCAGTCAGTCAGATAATTGTTATCCCAGCTTAACTGACAGATGTTAGGAATGAGACTTGAAAGTGCTCAGCCAGGCTGGGTGCGTTGGCTCACGCCTGTAATCCCAGCACTTTGGGAGGCCAAGGTGTGTGGATCACCTGAGGTCGGGAGTTCGAGACCAGCCTGACCAACATGGAGAAACCCCGTCTTTACTAAAGGTACAAAATCAGCCGGGGCGTGATGGCACATGCCTGTAATCCCAGCTACTCCGTAGGCTGAGGCAGGAGAATCGCTTGAATCCAGGAGGCGGAGGTTGCAGTGAGCCAAGATCATGCCACTGCACTCCAGCCTGGGAAACAAGAGCGAAACTCTGTCTCAAAAAAAAAAAAAAAAAAAAAAAAAAAAAAGTGCTCAGCCAGGATCTCATACCAAGTCTGTGGTGGAGTGCCAAGAGCCAAGATGTCCTCTGCAGAAAGAATCACTTGGTTTTTTTTTTGGTTTTTTTTGTTTTTGTATTTTTTGGTGGAGATGGGGTTTCCCCGTGTTGGCCGGGCTGGTCTCCAGCTCCTGACCGCGAGTGATCTGCCCACCTCGGCCTCCCGAGGTGCCGGGATTGCAGACGGAGTCTCGCTCACTCAGTGCTCAATCTTGCCCAGGCTGGAGTGCAGTGGCGTGATCTCGGCTCGCTACAGCCTCCACCTCCCAGCCGCCTGCCTTGGCCTCCCAAAGTGCCGAGACTGCAGCCTCTGCCCGGCCACCACCCCATCTAGGAAGTGAGGAGCGTATCTGCCCGGCCGCCCATCGTCTGAGATGTGGGGAGCGCCTCTGCCCCGCCGCCCCGTCTGGGATGTGCGGAGCGCCTCTGTCCGGCGGCGACCCCGTCTGGGAACTGAGGAGTGTCTCTGCCCGACCGCCACCCCGTCTGGGAGGTGAGGGGCGTCTCTGCCGGGCCGCCCTGTCTGAGAAGTGAGGAGCCCCTCCGCCCGGCAGCCGCCCCGTCTGGGAAGTGAGGAGCGTCTCCGCCCGGCAGCCGCCCCGTCCAGGAGGTGGGGGGCAGCCCCCGCCCTGCCAGCCGCCCCGTTCGGGAGGTGGGGGGCGCCTCTGCCCGGCCCGTCTGGGAAGTGAGGAGCCCCTCTGCCCGGCCGTCACCCCGTCTGGGAGGTGTACCCAACAGCTCATTGAGAACGGGCCATGATGACGATGGCGGTTTTGTCGAATAGAAAAGGGGGAAATGTGGGGAAAAGAAAGAGAGATCAGATTGTTACTGTGTCTGTGTGGAAAGAGGTGGACATGGGAGACTCCATTTTGTTCTGTACTGGGAGAGGTTCTTCTGCCTTGGGATGCTGTTGATCTATAGCCTTACCCCCAACCCCGTGCTCTCTGAAACATGTGCTGTGTCCACTCAGGGTTAAATGGATTAAGGGCGGTGCAAGATGTGCTTTGTTAAACAGATGCTTGAAGGCAGCATCCTCATTAAGAGTCATCACCGCTCCCTAATCTCAAGTACCCAGGGACACAAACACTGCAGAAGGCCGCAGGGTCCTCTGCCTAGGAAAACCAGAGACCTTTGTTCACATGTTTATCTGCTGACCTTCCCTCCACTATTGTCCTATGACCCTGCTAAATCCCCCTCTCCGAGAAACACTCAAGAATGATCAATAAATACTAAAAAAAAAAAAAAAAAAAAGAATCACGTGTACTGGTTGAAACAGCACCAATAAACAATTTAGGCTCTGAGTTGGACACAGTTTGGTAAATACATGTTCTACAATGTTCCATAGTCTTTCAGTGTCCCATGGGATATTTGTTCCCCCATAGAAAGCATAGGTAGAGGTCCTTTACATACCCTGCAGGGACGCTGATTTGCATGGGGAGGGCTGGCACACAGCCTCTGCTGGGTATGAACAGTACAAACCTCTGGAGGCTGTGCTCTGTTCAGGACTTGGAGCTGGTTGGGGACCTCCAATGCCCTGTGCTGACGGCTGGCCTGGGGGCTTCTCCTCACTAGGGTCTTCTCTCAGTCTCTCAAGGTGGGCACAGTCTCTCCTGGACACACAGGCAATGGGCTGGACAAGCATCTCTTTCCTCTAAGGCCCAGTCACCAAGTATTCCCTCCAGGGGACCGGGTTTGGAAATTTTCACTACATATAACAGCCCTTCTGTTGCCTCATATTTTCTAACTCTGGCGTGGTGGTTCCCAGTCTCTTTACCACTGAGGAAGCATAGGTGATTTCTTCCCTCCCTCTGTTTCAAAATGGTTTTAACTACCAAACAAAATCCTCTAAGTGATCATTTGCCTTTCTTTCTTTCTTCCTTTCTTCCTTTCTTTCCTTCTTTCCTTCTTTCCTTTCTTTCTTTCTCTCTCTCTTTCTTTCTTTCTCTCTCCTTCCTTCCTTCCTCCCTCCCTCCCTCTCTCTCTTTCTTTCTTTTCGAAGCGCAGTTTCACTCTTCTTGCTCAGGCTGGAGTGCAATGGTGTGATCTTGGCTCACTGCACAACCTCAGCCTCCTGGGTTCAAGCGATTCTCCTGCCTCAGCCTCCTGAGTAGCTAGGATTACAGGCATGCGCCACCACGCCCAGCTAATTTTTTATTTTTAGTAGAGACAGGGTTTCTCCGTGTTGGTCAGGCTGGTCTTGAACTCCCAACCTCAGGTGATCAACCCGCCTCAGCCTCCCAAAGTGCTGGGATTACAGGCGTGAGCCACCGCGCCCAGGCTTCATTTGCTTTCTTATACTGTTCATCAAGATATATTTAAGGTCATCATGAAGACAAGGTTACATCATTTACAATATATGGAAGTAAGTCCCAGCCCCCGTTAAGATCCTAGTCTGGGCTAGCTGGCTGAGAGGGGCTGTTAAAACTCTAGTAATAGGAATAGCTGTCTCCCTGTCATTCTGCTGCTATGGCAGATGCTTTTTTCCTCTAGGACCACTGACTTCTGGAGATCTATGATTCATAACCTTGTGGCTAGAAATGAGATGTCAAAAGAGGACAAGATCACTCGGGTTCCTCCTTCCCTTGGGTTCCCTCTCCTGGGCCAATTAAGAACAGGCACATGGAGAAAAGAACCCAGAATTATCCCATAATCACACAAAGATCTGTTCACATACAATGGCCCAAGGAGGCAGGGCCTGCCCATGAGTCACCATTATCTACATAATGCAGCCTAACTATCCTGTTTTGCTTTTAGCTATTCAAGACTTTTCCGACCATGGGGAAGTCCCATGGCATGGGCTGTTTTCCCAACAGTATCTTGACTGAATCACTGAGTGTCATGCCAGAGGAGTGGGACCTGGTTGACCCCTCTTCCCTGGTGTCCAGGTGCCCAGGAACCCCTATGTGGTAGTGGGATCCAGATCTAAGAAAGCACAGCTCTTGTGTGGCCTCATGGGGAGTACATGCCTCACTGGGCTGGTTCTAAATTGTTCCAGGGTCAAGCCAGGAGGCATAAAGAACCTGCTCTTTCATCTTCCAACATTTTTTTTTTGGTAATAACCCAATTCCCTGATTAAAACATCTACAGTGGTGTCTTACATTTTTCAAAGCATAACTCAAACATTTTTTCCTTTAGAAAAACCTAAGTCTCCTAAAACAGGGGTTCCCAAGCCCTGGGCCATGGACTGGTACCGGTCCATGGCCTGTTAGGAACTGGGCTGCACAGTAGGAGGTGAGTGGCAGGTGACCAAGCATTAGCGCCTGAGCTCTGCCTCCTGTCAGATCAGCAGTGGGGTTAGATTCTCATAGGAGTGTGAATCTTATTGTGAACTGTGCATGCGAGGGATCTAGGTTGCTCGCTCCTATGAGAATCTAATGCCTGATGACCTGTCAGTGTCTCCCATCACCCTCAGATGGGACTGTCTAGTTGCAGGAAAACAAGCTCAGGGCTCCTACTGACTCTACATTATGGTGAGTTGTATAATTATTTCATTATGTATTATAATGTAATAATAGAAATAAAGTCCACAATACAGGTAACGCGCTTGAATCATCCCAAAACCACCCCTCCGAAAAATTGTCTTCCATGAAACCGGTCCCTGATGCCAAAAATGTTGGGAACCACTGTCCTAGAAAACATAGTTTCCTCCTTGACTTTTGGCATTTTGTACGTTTCTTTCAGCGCTAACCACAATAGTTATCTTCAAGTCTGTTTATTCATTGTTACTAAATCTTAGATTCCTTCAGCGCAGGAACCTTTCTCGCCCCCTAGTCCCACCCTGGACCTCACAACATTCTTTGAACACAGGAAGGGTTCGATAAATATTTGTTAAAGATCCCTTGGAGTCTGGCTTAAAAAGATTTAAGATCTAAAACTGAGGAAGGCAGATCTTTGAGGTGAGGCAAACATAGCCTGCCGATATGGCAGGAAGTAGAAATGGGCAGACCAAGTAGAGAAGGAAAATAGTTCTATACTCCTTATGAGTAGTATATAGGAGTGGGATAAAAAGTAGGATATAGGAGTCCAAATTTCCATCAAATCTATAGATTGATTTTCTTTGCATTAATTAAGACTTCTGGTGGAACGTGGTGGCTCATGCCTATAATCCCAGCACTTTGGGAGGCCAAGGTGGGTGGATCACCTGAGATCAGGAGTTCGAGACCAGCTGGCCAACATGATGAAACTCTGTCTCTACTAAAAATACAAAAATTAGCTGGGCGTGGTAGCAGGCGCCTGTAATCCCAGCTACTTGGGAGGCTGAAGCAGGAGAATCACTTAAACCTGGGAGGCCAAGTTTGCAGTGAGCCAAGGTCATGCCATTGCACTCTAGCCTGGGTGACAAGAGTGAAACTCAGTCTCAAAAAAAAAAAAAAAAAAGACTTATTTGTTGTTGCTAAAATGCAAAGATTCTGGGCTTATGAAGAAACTAATACTCCAGTAGGAATGCTTGAAATAAAAATATCTACCACTAACTGAAACCTAAGTATCAGGTTGCCCATCTTGTGTTGCTGTAATATAATACGCAGACTGAGTAATTTATAAAGCAAAGCAGCCTATTTCATGGTTCTGGAGGATAAGAAGTCTAATATCAAGATCCCGGCATTTGGTGAGTCTTTTTGCTGTATCATCTCTTGGTAAAGGCAAGTGGGTGAGTGAGGGCAAGAGGTTGAACTTGCCTCAACCTCAAGCCCTTTTATAATCAGTATTAATCCATTCATAAAGTTGGAACCTCCATGGCCAGCCAGCCATTAGGATTCACTTCCCGATATGGTTGCATTGTGGATTCAGTTTCCAACACATGCTTTTTGGAGGACACATTCAAACCACAGTACAGGTACTTTATATTAGCTTTATAATGACTCTCCCAAGAAAACAGTGCCACGTACAAGATGAGGAACTGGAGCTCAGACAGGTGAAGCCCCACCGCGTGTCACACAGGAAGAAATGGCAAAGTAAAAATTCACACCCAGGACTCCCTGGGCTTTCTCACCGCACATGTTGCCTTCTTACTGGATATCACCTGACAGAATGAGACTCAGGTGATTACAGGGATTCACCAGGAAAACGGGAAAGTCGGCATGACCAGAACTAGAACATGGGCCAGTGAATGCAGTTCTGGGTGGACCATGGCATTGGAAGCCAAAGGATAGCTTGAATGTGGTTAAAAAATTAAAACAACAAGGCACAAAACGCACAAATGAAATACAAATGATGCTCAAACACAGCTTTTATTTTACTTCAAAGTTTACCTCAGATCAGCCTGGGAAGGTGAGGGGAATGAAGCAGATGCTGTTAAAGGGTCATGGGAGAGAAAAGGTATCTGTGGGAAGAGAATAATCTCTTTTGACTTCGTGTGCTGCCTCACGGACACACTGGAGCAGGGATTGGGCCCCCAAGGCCTCAGGTAGCCCCGTGCCTGTGGCTTTGCTGGGTGCAGCCTACGTGGCTGCTCGAATGGGTTGCAGGCTGGTGCCTAAAGCTTTCCCAAGGGGGCGCTGCATGCTGCCACTGACTCCACAGTTCTGGGGTCCTGGTGGTGGTCAGGTCCTGCTCCCAGCGCTCCACAAGGCACTCTCTCCTGTGGCCTGGATCCACTAGACACTAGACATTTCCCTGGTGGGGGCCCTCTGTGGCAGCTGCACCTCACATTTCCACTTAGCATCACTCTAGTGGAGGCTCTCTGTGGGCTGGGCATGCTAGCTCAGTTCTCTTTTCCTCTTCTTATAAAGCCACCAGTCCCATTCCTGTGATAACCCATTAATCCATTAACCCATGAATGAAGGCACAGCCTTACGATCCAATCACATCTCAAAGGCCCCACCTTTCAGTATTGCCACATTAGGGATTAAGTCTCAACATGAGTGTTGGAGGGAACATTCAAACCACAGCAGTATGAAAACAATATTCAACTCCAAGGTATATGGTCAAGATTACAGGTGGTAAGGAATAGGCTAGAGAATAGGAATAGGCTAAATTTGCTAGAGATGTGCTGTGGAATTATCTGTATTTCTAGCTATGATCTTAGCTTCCTCAAGTCCATTTCATTGCAAGAATATGAAAAATTAAATTGAGATCCAGGTTCTTTTTTTATTTTTCAATTTTTATTTTTTGAGATGGCGTTTCACCCTGTCACCCAGGCTGGAGTGCAGTCGCACAATCCTGGCTCACTGCAACCTCCGCCTCCCGGGTTGACGCCATTCTCCTGCCTCCGCCTCCTGAGTAGCTGGGACTACAGGCCCGTGCCTCTGCGCCCAGCTAATTTTTTGTATTTTTTAGTAGAGACGGGGTTTCACCGTGTTAGCCAGGATGGTTTCGATCTCCTGACCTCGTGATCTGCCCTCCTCGGCCTCCCTAAGTGCTGGGATTACAGGCATGAGCTGCCGCACTCTGCCCAGGTTCTTATTTTTAATAGAAAAGAGAACAGGGAAGGAACACAGGTCAGTGTGAGGAAGGGGGTCATGGTAGACACAGAGGTGGACTGTTTCTCTACCTCCTCACATTGTGCTAACAGGGACACAGACAGATTCAGAGGCCCTTGCAAAAAGAGAAGCCAGAGTCCCCTAAGACACATAGGGGAGGCGTGAGGAAATCCTGCATCTCAGTCGCACACAAGGCAGCTGTGCATCTCAGTCGCACACAAGGCAGCTGTCTCAGGCTACAGAAGAAAATAGTCATGAACAAATTCAGGTCAGTCACGGTAAGTGATGACACTCTGAACAGCCCACCACACACTCAAAAATTCTGAATCAAAAAATCCCCACAACCCAGTCCTGTCCCCTCTGCCCCACCCTCCACCCACTTCAGACCCCCAGAATCTCACCTTTACAAGCTGTGAGACTCAGACCCCTGGGCACTGTCGCTCCCTGGGGTAGAACAAAAACAAGACCTGGTCAGAGCCCACAGGAGATGTGGTGCAGGAGGAATTATAGGGTGGGCGAGCTCCTCCACGCTCCCGCCCCGCACTTACACTCAGCCTTAGAGTAGCTCCCTCCTTTTCCACCTGTTGGAAGAAAATGTCCTGTGAGGGGCCAGGGAGGAGGCAGGGCCATAAGGTCCTAGAGGAACCTCCTAGTTTTGGATCCCAGAGAAGTTTCCTGAACTGTGACTGCAGACCCAGGGCAGGATCAGGAAACGTGAAGAAAGCAGGTGTGGGTCCTGGATCAACTGCCCTTCTGAGGTCTGTCTTCAGCAGGGACCTTCCCCTGTGACCTGTGACTGCTGGGATCAGGTCCCCATCACCACAATCGTCAAGGTGATAAATCTGTCCTTCATTGTCACAGGTGCTTTACAAAAGAGTAGGTGCGGCTGGGTGCGGTGGCTCACGACTGTAATCCCAGCACTTTGGGAGGCCGAGGCAGGCAGATCACAAAGTCAGGAGTTCGAGACCAGCCTGGCCAACATAGTGAAACCCCATCTCCACTAAAAATACAAAAAAAAAAATTAGCCAGGTGTGGTGGCACGCATGTGTAGTCCCAGCTACTAGGGAGGCTGAGGCAGGAGAATTGCTTGAACCTGGGAGGCGGAGGTTGCAGTGAGCTGAAACCACGCCATTGCACTCCAGCCTGGGTGACAGAGCCAAGACTCCGTCTCAAAAAAAAAGAGTAGGTGCTGGCACACAGGGCCCCAGGCTGGGTAGGCTCGTGTGTGTGGATGGTGCTTCCCAGTAACGAGGCAGGACACACTTTTACCTAGGGCTTGAAACACCCAGTGGGACAAGAAAACTCAGACCCCACCCTTCTCCCTTCCCCACCTGAGCTCTTCTTCCTCCATATCACAGCAGCAACCACAGCTCCAGAGACCACAGATCCAAGGAGAACCAGGCCAGCAATGATGCCCACGATGGGGATGGTGGGCTGGGAAGCCGGCTCTGGGAAAAGAGGGGAACGTAAGGGGCCCTGACCCCCAGGCCTCAGCCCTGACCCTGCGGAAGGGCTCCAGAAGGGCTCCCGCTTTCCCTGAGAAGAGACATGACCTCCCATCCCCCTCCTTACTCCATCTCAGGGTGACGGGCTCGGGTAGCCCCTCATGCTGCACATGGCACGTGTATCTCTGCTCCTCTCCAGAAGGCACCACCACAGCTGCCCACTTCTGGAAGGTTCCATCCCCTGCAGGCCTGGTCTCCACGAGCTCCGTGTCCTGGGTATGGCCCTCCCCATCCTGCTGCCAGGTCAGTGTGATCTCCGCAGGGTAGAAGCCCAGGGCCCAGCACCTCAGGGTGGCCTCATGGTCAGAGATGGGGTGGTGAGTCACGTGTGTCTTTGGGGGCTCTGAGGGGAAGAGTCAGAAAATTCAGGCACTTTGTATCTCTCATGGGACACTCCAGCAGCACCCATGTGACCATCCTGAGAAGGAAGAGGACAATTATAGTAGGAGAAGAGGACAAAACCTTGACACCAGCCTGGACTTAGGGATCTGGGATAGCCTCTTATTCCTTGGAAAGTTCTAGAATCGGGATGAGCTAGCCCAGGGTAGAAGGTGAAAAGGGATTTCTGGTCCTGGCCTGTGTGGATGCTGAGTGACTGAGAAAAGCTGGAGTCAGACCTCCAAAAACTCTTGGTGTGGGGCTGAGAATCAGGCACGAGAGAAACTCCCCCGTGATTCCTAATACTGGGAGTCAAAGAGAACTGCTCATCAGTTCATCTGAAGGATGGAATCTCCAGCGAGACTAGATTCCTTAATTGCCCCTGAGAGAGGTCTGGCCCTTTAAGAGAGTCACTCTGTGGTATAGGATCTCCTGTACCTCAGGTGACAGCTCCCTCTCCTGATCCAAGGGAGGAGTGGTATTCTGGCCTCCATCCCTGTTTCTTCTACTGTTTGAGGTCTGTCAGCTGTGGGCACAGTCCTAGCCCAAGAAGGAGTTGGGAGAGTAGCCCTGTGGACCCTCTTACCCAGGTGAAGCAGCGTCTCCTTCCCCTTCTCCAGGTATTTGTGGAGCCACTCCACGCATGTGTCTTCCAGGTAGGCTCTCTGGTGCTCCGCCTCAGAGGCATCATTTGACTTTTGCTCGGAGATCTGAGCCGCCGTGTCCACCGCGGTCCAGGAGCGCAGGTCCTCATTCAGGGTGAGATAATCCTTGCCGTCGTAGGCGAACTGTTCATACCCGCGGAGGAAGCGCCCGTCGGGCCCCAGCTCGCAGCCATGCATCCACTGCAGGGTGTGAGACCCTGGCCCCGCCCCTTAGTCAGTCCCGCCCACCAAGCCCCGCCCCCGTCGCCACCACCCTGTGGGCATTTTGGCCTAAACTGAAAAAGAACCGGGTAAAGGCGCCTGAGACTCTCCCCGGTCTAGGGTCTGGGCGGGTTCCGCAGCCTTGGGGTGAATCTGGGACCCGAAGATTCGAGGGGACCCGCGCCGTCCGTGGGGGATGGGGAGGGGTCGTGACCTGCTCCCCTGGCCGGGGTCACTCACCGGCCTCGCTCTGATTGTAGTAGCCGCGCAGCGTCCGCAGATTCACTCGGAAAATCTGTGCGGTGTCCCTGGCGCTCCGTGTCTCCCGGTCCCAATACTCTGACCCCTCCTGCTCCATCCACGGCGCCCGCGGCACCATCCTCGGACTCGCGGCGTCGTTGTCGAAGCGCACGAACTGGGTGTCGTCCACGTAGCCCACAGAGATGAAGCGGGGCTCCCCGCGGCCGGGCCGGGACACGGAAGTGTGGAAATACTTCAAGGAGTGGGAGCCTGGGGGCGAGGAGGGGCTGAGATCGGCCCGACCCTCCTCCCGGCGCGGCTCCCCGAGTCCTTCGCCCCCGCCGGGCCGGCCCCTCTCTACTCCCGGTAGAGGCCGTTTCCATCCCGACCCCGCACTCACCCGCCCAGGTCTGGGTAAGGGCCAGGGCCTCCGAGAGGAGTAAAAGGAGGGTTCCATCTACCATGATCCCAGCCTCTGAGTCCTGAGAACTTCTTGAGTCCGGATGGGGACTTTATAGTCGGGAGTCGTGGCGACGCTGATTGGCTTCTCTAGAAACCCGACACCCATTGGGAATGAGAACTGAGTCTGCGTCATGAGTATCCAGGAAGAAGGACACATGACCAGGTTACGAGAGGAACGGGAAACTGCAGAGTTTCCCAGCAATCAGCAGTTCTTAAACTTTTAGGTTTCGGTATCTCTGCACACTCTTAGAAATTAGTCCTGGCTGGGCGCGGTGGCTCACGCCTGTAATCTCAGCACTTTGGGAGGCCAAGGCGGGCTGATCACCTGAGGTTGGGAGTTCGAGACCAGCCCGACCAATATGGAGAAACCCTGTCTCTACTAAAAGTCCAAAAAATTAGCCGGCGTGGTGGCGCATGGCTGTAATCCTGGCTACTTGGGAGGCTGAGGCAGGAGAATCACTTGAACCCAGGAGGAGGAGGTTGCGGTGAGCCAAGATCGTGCCATTGCCCTCCAGCCTGGGCAACAAGAAAAAAGAAATTAGTGAGGACCCAAATAAATTTTGTTTCTGTGGATTGTATCAATTTTTATCATATATAAATTAAAAGATATTAAAACAAAATATTAAAAATATTAATTCATTTAAGAGAATATTAATAACCCATTACATGTTAATAGAAACAACTTTTTTTTTTTTTTGAGTCAGAGTCTTGCTCTGTCCCCAGGCTGGAGTGCAGTGGCATGATCTCGGCTCACTGCAACCTCCTTCTCCCGGGTTCAAGCGATTCTCCTGCCTCAGCCTCCCCAGTAACTGGAACTACAGGCGTGTGCCACCACACCCAGCTAATTTTTGTGTTTTTAGTAGAGACGGGGTTTCACCATGTTGGCCAGGATGGTCTTGATCTCTTGATCGGAAATAACATATCTTTAATGAAAAAAAACTTAATTTTTAATTTTTCCAAAATAAACAACGTATAGGCCGGGAACGGTGGCTCACGCCTGTAATCGCAGCATTTTGGTAGGCCGAGGCAGGCAGATCACGAGGTCAGGAGTTCAAGACTAACCTGGCC